>NC_000005.10:180274693-180425139 GCF_000001405.40 Homo sapiens
TGCTGGGCAAAGAACCCAGGCAAACCCACCCAGGTTTCTGACTATAGAACTATGAGATAATCAATAGGTGTTGTTTTAAACAACTAAGTTTGTGTTAATGTGTTATGCAGCAATAGAAAACTAACACCTTCTCTGTTTTGGGCTCTTCTACCATTTTTGCCTCTGCAGCTTTCATTCTGGATACTTTTTGCTGACCTCTCCTCCAGGTCACTAAATCTCTCTTCAGTTATATCTAGCATGCTGTTACACATATTAAATTCATAATTCAATTACTATAGTTTTTACTTCTAGAATTTTGATTTATTCCTCTTAAAAGAAGTTTTCATTTCTCCACCAAAACTTTTAATCTTGCCTTTATCACCTTGAACGTAATATCATAGCTATTTAAAAATGTGGATCTAATAATGCCAATATCTCCTATGGATCTGTTTCTTTTGTCTGCTGTTTCTGCAGGATTTTATTCATGTTGTCATATCTCCTTGTGTGCCTAGACTGGGCCTTGCACGTATAAAACTGTTTGCTATCTAGAAATAATTTTATCTAATATGATGCTGTCTTCTTCCACAAAGAATTTAAATTTATTTCTACTAGGTACCTGGGGGCACTAGCAATTTTTGTTTACCCCCATACAAGTTCAGCAAATGAGATGATAATCTGAAGCTGAGTGGCAGTGCCTATAAGGGCCAATCTCTGAGTTACCTTTACTTCTAGGAAGCAGCCTTTTATTGGTCCCAACACAAGTAAAAGAAGTTTGCCACACAATATTAGAGGGCCCTGGACTCTCATCCCTGTCTCCTAGCCACAGGGCAGTCCAAAACACTCTCTCAACAGCCCCTTCCAGAATTTTCAAATGCCCCCAAGGGAAAGACAGCCCCACATGCTGAAGCTCCCCTCACTAGGCTTCTGTGCTTCCCCAGATCCTGACCTAGTAACTCCTCACTAACTTACTAGCTCTCTAGGGGAAAATGCTGAGCATGGGGGACAGTGGGAATGTTGGCAGAAAACTGGCACAGCTGTTTCACAGGCACACTTTTAATTAACAGCCCTAGTTTTAGCCACTCATTTCATCTCTTCTTCATTGTCATCTCTATGCCCACAGCCTCTGTAGTTTTACTATAGCTAGGTTCTCTTCCTTACGCACATACTTCAGCTGCTTATTCTCACTTTATCTGCTGTTTTATCTGTATCACAAGATTCAAGCTACTTTCTATATTTCATAAATTTGTTAAAACTGTCTTCCACTTATTACTGCCCTCTTATCTTTGTACAGGTGTTCGGGCCACCATCTTAAATGAGAAGTTCCAAACCACTCATTTTACAGGTGAAAATATTGAGGCCCATAAAGAAACTGATTTGCCCTGCTCACAAAGAACTCTTCGCTGAGGAAAAGAGCTGGACTCAGAACTCAAGTCTTCTGAATCACAGCCATCCTGTGCCTCAAACCATGTCTCCTTTATCACAGAAATTTTGTTGTGAACATTGTTATGTTTTTATTTATTTATATTAATAGAAAATAAACCATGTTAAGAACAGGCCAGTACTCATGTTTATACAGAACTTGAGGACACAAAAAGGAACACGCTATACCAATTATTTCATGTTAAGGCTGTAACTGTTACTTCTAAGAACCGCCAGACTCAATATTGAACACTTTTTTAAAGGTTAAGCATTTCATAGAATGGTTTCGTAAAGCAAATAATCTTTACTATTTTGGCCAAACTTGAGATTTTTGAAGGAGAAAGAAAAACTGAATATATGTATGAAAGAAATGTACATACATTTTCTCCACTAGAGCTTCAAAATCTTACAATTATTTAATTGTACTATAACACAGTTGATATTTATGAATACTTCAAAATTATATTTTAAAACTTATTTTAGGCCAGGCGCGGTGGCTCATGCCTGCAATCCCAGCACTTTGGGAGGCCAAGGTGGGCAGATCACGAGATCAAGAGATGGAGACCATCCTGGCCAACATGGTGAAACCCCATCTCTACTAAAATACAAAAAATTAGCTGGGCGTGGTGGCGCACACCTGTAATCCCAGCTACTCGGGAGGCTGAGGCAGGAGAATCACTTGAACCCGCGAGGCGGAGGTTGCGGTGAGCCAAGATCACGCCACTGCACTCCACCTGGTGACAGAGCAAGACTCCGTCTCAAAAATAAAATAAAATATTTTAAAATTTAAAAACTTATTTCCTAATAAATTTTACTAACATATTTAAAGGAACAAAAACAAATAAACAAATCAAAGACAACTATAAAAACAATTCAAAATTAGGAACCAGAATATTTTCTTCTGGCTCCAGCTCTTCCATTTAATCCTGTACAGGTCACAGGCCCTACCTGCACGTTGGTTTATCTGCACACCTGCCCTTCATAAAGCTCTAATTTAAATAGAAGATTAACTAGTTGCATAAACCATACACTGTTGCTGTTATATTTCTCAAAAATGTAGAAATACACATGCTTGTGAATTAGTTTCCTATTGCTATTGTAACAAGTAACCACCAATTTACTGCTTTAAAGCCACACAAACTTACTATCTTACAGTTCTGGAGGTGAGAAGTCCAAAATGCATCTTATGCCTCAAGAGGTAAGCAGGGCTGCGTGGCTCCTTCTGCAGGCTCTGGGGGGAGTCTGCTCCCTGCCTCTCTCAGCTGGTTGGAGGCTTCCTGTATTGCTTGGCTGTGGCCCCACATCACTCCAAACTTCGCTCTGCCATCACATCTCTGACTATGACCTTCCTGTCTCCCTTTTGTAAGAAGGACCCACCCAACTAAACCTGGGATAACCCTCCCATCTCAAGACCATTAATGTAATCACACCGGCTAAATTCCTTTTGCCATGTAAAGAAATATACAAATTCCAGGGATTAGGACGTGGACATCTCAGGCGGGACCATTATTCTGCATGCTACACTCCCCAAAGAATCACTGACAGATGATTTTCAAGTACAATAGTGATGAAAGGAAGTTTCAGATCATCAATTAACTACATAATGCCAATATTTTAATACGAAATATGATAGAAAATCCAATTCCTCTTGTCAGTGTTAGCTAATCTACTGTTGAGCTTATTTTTGGAAAAGCAAGCTTTTTTTTCTTTTTTGAAACGGGAATGTGCCGTAACTAGATTATTTCCCAATTCTACTTGGTGCCTCATAGCCTGGTGAAGGATACAGAGAAAAGAGAAAGGTGAAAAGGAAGCGAAAATCACTTATAAAGTGTTTACTTTCCCTATTAGAACATAAGATAGAAGGATACCATAAAACTGAAAGTCAGTTATAGCTATAAAAATTGAAACTGTTCTTGAATGTAACAATTGTCTTATAGAGATAAATACAATTAAATGAAAATTGTTTAATAGGTGTTTAGTGAATATTTGTTCATTATTACTAAGATTCTAAACAGAAGGTGGGTCAGAGGCCTTGACCTATCAAAGTATCAGTGGTTCAAAGTCTTCAACAAGTCTCTCCGTGGTACAGGCAATAAGGTCCCAAAGGCCCACAGCTTGTTTTGGTCCCAGGCCTACCACTAACACCCCGTGAGACGGGAGAAGCAAGTGAGCCTTCCTAGTCCTTCGATTCACCACCAGTGAGGGTTATGGCAGAGCTCATGGTGATTCTACAATATACACTATTCACATTACTACCAACCTTCAAAAGCAAGTGAATGACATGCCAGCTGGGATAAATGAAGCACGTATTTAAAACAGCTACCTGTAGGCCGGGCGCAGTGGCTCATGCCTGTAATCCCAGCACTTTGGGAGGCCAAGGTGGGTGGATCATGAGGTCAAGAGATCGAGACCATCCTGGCCAACATGGGGAAACCCTGTCTCTACTAAAAATACAAAAATTAGCTGGGTGTGGTGGCGTGCGCCTGTAGTCCCAGCTACCGGGAGGCTGAGGCAGGAGAACTGCTTGAACCCAGGAGGCGGAGGCTACAGTGAGCTGAGATCGCGCCACTGCACTCCAGCCTGGTGACAAAGTGAGACTCTGTCTCAAAAAAATAAATAAATAAATAAAACAGCTACCTGTCTATAGCCACAAACAACTCCCCAAGACCTCCGACATTTCTCCCTTCTTGCCCCCTCTCTCCTTTTTCTCTCTCTCTCTCGCATGCACACATCAAATTATCTGTCAAATTATCATCTAATTCCAAATAGGAGATGGGTTATAAACCAAAAGAATGCTTTGTTGTTTATAACTTTCCATTACCATCAAAGTTTCCTAATTTGAACCATCCTCCACTAACTTTAAAACTTTTTTTTTTTTTTTTTTGAGACGGAGTCTTGCTCCATCGCCCAGGCTGGAGTGCAGTGGCGCGATCTTGGCTCACTGCAACCTCCATCTCCCAGGTTCAAGCGATTCTCTTGCCTCAGCCTCCCGAGTAGCTGGGACTACGGGTGTGTGCCACCACACCTGGCTAATTTCTGTATTTTTAGCAAAGACGGGGTTTCACCATGTTGGCCAGGATGGTCTCGATCTCTTGACCTCGTGATCTGCCCAGCTTGGCCTCCCAAAGTGCTGGGATTACAGGCGTGAGCCACCGTGCCCGGCCACCTTTAACACTTCTTCTGGCACACTGGATTTAAGTGCCGATACAGCATGTGTCATCAGGAAGTTAAGATCACCATTACTTTAGATGCAAGCTGGGCATTCCTTCCAAACAGTCCCTTTCCCGCCTTAGCTTCTCAAAGAAGCTCTGGACTGCAATTTCCTCTTAGCTCCCAGGGCCTTCAGCCGCCAGGGCTGAAAAAAACAACTGTTTCCCTGATCATAGGTCTCCGCAACAAAGGATCAGTTAAAAATCATCGTTAAAGATTCTCCAAACCCAACATCTCTACAAGGAAATGTAAACTACCCTACTAGAGCATCGAAAAGAGCTTTCTTCTCCCTCAACCCCCTCTGCCTACCAGCTGTAAACACGCGATGTTTAACTGCACCACGGTTTCTTTAGGCGCAAAGGTAATCCTGTTTTCATTGACCAAAAAAAAAGAAAAAGAAAAAGAAAAAAAAAAGTTCTGCCCAGAAAAATAAGGGGTAAAAAGTGTGGGAAGTGCTGATAGCTGCAGTCTAGGAAACATGTGAAGAGCTTTACCTTGAGCTGGCCCGTGATGCTGCGGCGGCTGACCGTCTTACCATGCAAGAGACTAACGTTCAGGGTCAGACTAACGATTCTGACGTTCTGGGCTGGACACACAGTTGAAGTGAGACACCAAGGAAGAGATGGCCAGCCCAACCCCTCACACAGCATCCCTTCCTGGTTAATCCATGGAGTGACAATGACACTGACTGGCCTCATCCTGCCAATGAATGGCAAGGCACTGCAATGATGGCGCCTGGAAATGAACAGGAGTGATCGGGAATAAAAGGGGAGGGGGGAAAAGGTGGCCATGATGAAGAAATGAATAAAACTCCAAATTTCTGTTACAACTCACTGTCATACCTACTACTCTGATATCATAATGACAGGAGAAATGAAAAAAAAAATGAAAGGAAAAAGAAACAAACAAAAAAGAAAACTTGCTACCTATTTAAATTCCTGCAGCATTCTAAGAATATGGGTTTGTACCCTACAGCCTGACTACACAGAACTAGAGCAAGCAGTTGATTCAATTTAGCTCATAAACCTATAACAGAGTTTTTTTTTTAATCATCAATGTTTCTAAATCCTGACACTTTAGTTTTACTTTTTATTACAGCAAAAACTCAATCCACGCTATTAAAACAGACCATACTTACCAAACAATCCCTTGGGCCCCAGAGCCAATTGGTTTCAGCTGCTGGTAACGTTTTAGGACAGTGAAGGTTGAGTCTGCCACTTGCACACTATAAAACTGACTGTCACATTTACTGTCGCTCATGATGCAGCGTCCTGCAATATCCCGAAGGGTGGGCAAGTTTCAGATCCCTTCAAAGAAAAACAGAATGAACGTGCATTCTTACCGGAAGTACATACGCAGCTCACGTAAGAGAGTTCTGAACTTATTGGTATGTAAGACAATGTGGCTGTAAGTTGATAAAGTCAATCTGACCAAGTTCTGAACTTAAGCAAGACACAAAAAAATGCAGACATTTCAGTGGTACCAGACCATTATGAAAGGAAGGAATTTTGAGGCCCAGCAAGACCACACTTTAAGGGGCTGGACTAGAAAATAACCACCTTTGGAGAAAAGAATGTATGCATTACTACTGGCTATGAAAAGACTACATCACTCTGTGCGTCTCATCAGCTTGCCCCCTGTGGGCAAGCTAGGTGTAAATGGTTCATTTACACCTAGCTGTCTAGAGACGGAGGCATTGTTTCAAAAATGATCACTTCTAGAATGCCTAAAGAGAAGCAAACGGACCAGTCTTCTGCTCAGTGTATAGATTCTGGTTGAAATGATGAACCAAAAAGCAAGATTCATACGCCAAAGTGACAGGCTGTCAGAGGCCTGGTGGCATCAGTGTGCTGCATGTGCCCAAGCACGTGCTCCTGCCTCAGGAGGTGGGTCCCAGAGCTGGCATCAGCTGGCACAGCCCCAGAGTCCCACATCACCACCGGACTTCAGGGTAGAGATCTGTATATGAAGAACTCTGCTGTGACTGACAGTCCATCATAGTAACACTAGGAAGTCTATCCACTATGTCTGAGTGTAGGCCAGCAGGCCCAGAAAGCAGCTTTTCTGTGGTTGAGGCACAGGCTGAGACTGCTGCTCTGCAGGAGCCTGGATGATTTTATACAGAAAACAAGCAAACAAATTGGCAAGTGGTTCCTAGGCTCGTGTCTGGTTATGCTTATTTAAAAGTCAGCAAGCTATTTATTTTGGTCTTTTAAAACTACATAGCCAACAATAAAATCATATAGGTAAACATTCTATACCGTTTAAGACTACAGAATGTATTCTACAGCTCTGTCAAATCCCTTGCCTTTATGTTCTAGTATCTAATATTTAACGTCAACCTAATGAGATTTTTGTGGTGATGATTTATATTTCAACACAAATGCTAGGATTTTCCTTAAACATGGAAAAAATGGATTAATAACAAGTCTAAATAAAGAACTGAGTCAAATTAATAATTTCTCCAAGTGACCACTGCCCCACGGTCTTCTCCCCGTCCTCTGGGTGGTGGCTGCAGTGTGGCTGCCACTCTGACCACTCCTGCCGAGGTGTGTTAGCGTGCCAGCCAGGGAGTGACTCCAGTGACGCCACAGCGCTTAGATGCTGGACAAACAGCTGCTCATACAACCCGCACCGCAGGAGTCTCAGTCCCGTGTTACCTGGGAGCAATCTAGGGCTGAGTGAGCTGGAACACCTGCCTAGCCCACACTGCTGTGAGAAGGGGACTCAGGAGCTCTCCAGGCTGGCAGGTCACTGTGCTCTAAGCTATAGGAGGTGCGAGGCAGGTCTGTCTTGCTCATGGCATCTCATACTCCAAGGACAGGAGGACAGGAAGCTGGTCTTTGGGGCACTGTGAGCATTCAATAAACCTTTGTTGATCTGATTCCCCACAGTGCTGCTCCATTTTACTGATATCTAAAGGAAGATCCTTTCTAAAGATTAGCTTATTTACAGTTTGCAAGAGGCTGAAACAATTCCACTCAACATTTAGGGGGTACCTTTATGCACGAAAGTGGTAAGTATAGCAAAAGATATGCCATAGTCAGCTAGCAACCAGTCTTGAAACAACATGTACTTCACTATTTGGGGGAGAAGCGCGAGCAGTGAGTCCATTATCTATATTACAAGTCACAGTGCGGTAAGGGCCATAAGCACAATGTAAACAAAATCAAAAGGCAAAAGAGATCCTACCCACTGGCAGGGGCAGAAGACAAGGACGGCTTCAAGGAGGAGGCGGCATCCGCCCTCAGACTCTTTTGCCAGAGATGGACAGTAGAGCCACAGAGCTCAAACTGACTGTGTCCAGACACAGCGAACTGCTGAGCTTGGCTAGCGGGGTACAAGTGCAAAGGATTAGAGACAACTCAGCAAAAAGGCAGGCACCCACTACCACCTGCTTTACGGAGGGTGGCTGTTCCTCTGCTATGCCGTCAACACACCAGCAACACAGTTACTTGCAAGCATGTACTGAGCACCCGCTGTGGATGGTGAGGTACCATGCCAGGACACTCGCCTGCCCTCAGTGAGCGCACACTCAGGAGGAGGCCCTGCACACCAAGGGTCCTAAACCCAGTAGGGTGAAGAAGATTTGGGGGAATGGGAGGAGAAGCAGCAGAGGCGGAGGCACATTCGGAATGTGACAAGTCACTAGGGACTTGCTGGGTAGAGGGCGAGTGAAGCTGGAGAGAGAAAAGGAGGCCAGATCACTATGAGCCCCAGAAGCCACGCAGAGCCGTCTGGCCTCAGTCCTGAGGGCTGTGGAAGCCGTCAAAACATCAGAGGTGCGACACAGGCGCTGAGGTGCTCCAGGATCCATCCCTCCCTTCCTCGCTTTCATAAGAGAAGCCTTCCTTCCCCTTCCTGCTAGATAAATGGCTGCCCAACTAGAGACGACGCCTGGCAGCTTTCCCAGCAGCCAGGTATGGCCAGATGACCAAGTTCTGACTAATAAGATGTGGGTAGAAGTGATGTATGCAACTTCCAGATCACTTTTATTTTTCTTTACAGAAAGCTGCTTGCCCTCCAATCTTTCTTCCTTGCTGCTGGCTGAGGGATCAGCTGTCACAGACCCAGAGATGGAAGTCACATGCTGTAGATGGAAAGCTGCCCACCAGCTGGATTCCTTAACTACCTCATGGCACAGAGCCACCCCCCATTCAGGACCCCGTGTCCACGTTGGGACTGACAGATCAATCTCAACCCTGCTGACCAACTCTGCAACTCTCCCTGCTATAACTGCTTTCAACCTATATTTGGACTATGACAATATTAGGTTAACTTTTTTAAATTTGGGGAGTATATTCACTCATATTAGGTTTTAGAATTGTAATTCCATCTCAAGATTTAAAATAGTCCGGGCATGGTGGCTCACACCTGTAATCCCAGCACTTTGGGAGGCCAACGTGGGGGAATCACTTGAGGTCAGGAGTTTGAGAACAGCCTGGCCAACATGGTGAAGCCCCATCTCTACTAAAAATACAAAAATTAGCCGGGTGTGGTAGTGCGTGCCTGTAATCCCAGCTACTTGGGAGGCTGATGCAGGAGAATCATTTGAACCGGGAGGTGGAGATTGCAGTGAGCTGAGATCGTGCCACTCCAGCCTGGGCCACAGCGAGACTCCATCTCAAAAACAAACAAACAAAAAGATTTAAAATAATTATAAAATTAAAATAAGGTACCCTTATTATGCAGGAGAAAAAAGTCACCTAAGTGAAAACCTGTTAAAGCCACCTTCTCTGTCAAGTTTGGGCTTTGTGAGAGCAAGAGAAAGAAACTTAAGGCCACCTGAGAAGGTGTGTAATTTAGCTATTCATGAGTCAACTCTATTGAGATGATATTTCAACAAAATGGACCATCAACTGGGGCTCAGAAAACAGTTTTACAAATCGGGAAGTACAAGAATTCTTCATGAAACCACATTAGCAATACACTAAAGCCTGCATTCGCTGCCTCCACTTCCCACACCAGCCGGTGCTGGTTCCTCCCCCTCAGCTCCCAGGCTGTGCTGCCACCATCCGTCCAGCACAGGGCTCCCTCCTTGCCACTTGTGCACTCAGCAGCGCCCGCCAGGCTGCACTGTCACAGCCTTTGTAGGGTCTGCCTCCCTTCCAGGCTATGAGCAACTCAAAACTGGGAGGGAACGCTACAAGGAGGTTTCCTGGAGGAGGCAAGACCTGAGCTCAAGTTTGTTCACAGTATCGACCGAGGCATGAGGAAACAGGCACTTTCATACACGTCAGTGAGAGCTGAGAAGTGGTAAAACATTTTTTTAGATGGAATATAGATCTGGCTAATAAAAATGTTAACTGCATATCCTAAACTGGCAAACACAATTCTCTAAGTGTATCTGACAAATACGTGTACAAGTATCCAAACATATTTGTGCAAGCATGTTTGTAACACTTCTTGTAACAGGCAAAAAACTAGAAGTAATCTAAAATGCACACTGTGGATGGACTGAATAAATTATGGCACAGAAGTACAACAAGGCCATTCAACAGAATGCAAGGACTTTATGTATCAATGTGGAAAGATGTCTAAGATACAGAAAGGAAATACACCAAGTTGAAGAAGAGAACACATAATGCCCAGCTACGTAAACACACACACACGCATACACACGCACATACACAATGCTGGCAAGTAGAGAAATAGTGGGAAATGAGAAACTTTCTTCCCATTATAACTTTCTATTCTGTTTTTCAAATGTACATATTTCACATTTAAAAACTGATTAAACAACACATGTTAAATGAAAAGCTGCAGAATGATCATTTGACACTTGTATGGAAGACGGGCTTCAGGCAGATAAGGCTAGAGGCATGAGAGTGGGCCTGGCTCTGAGGTACACATTTATCAACACCCTTATAACAACTAGTGAGAAGCATATTACTATCCCCGCTCTGCAAATGAGGAAACTGAGGCTTAGAGGAAGTTGTCCAGTAAGGAAGTTGTCCAAATTCCCAGCATGGCTCAGATTTGAATTTAGGAGTGTTTCACCACAATATTCAAGTTCCTCCCAAAGCACCATTCTGATATCCCTTTAGAAAGTGAAGCTATTTGCACATGGGCTGGCCAGGACCAGCACACAGTCCTGCACATTTCACCTTGCTGACTCCCCCTACCAAAACCTACCAAAACACTTTTTCCTCTAACGATGACAACGATTCAGTGATCCACAGACTCAAGTGAACCTTTCATCACACTAAAGCTTCAGAGTACCCAGGACATGCGATATTTAAATCAACTAACTATTGTGATTAAAAGCAGATTCTCACAATCACCCTCTGTCTCAATGCTTGCTGCCGACATTTTTTTCATTAAATTGTTCTGTTTTCCAGCTGGGCAAGATGGCTCACACTTGTAATCCCAGCACTGTGGGAGGCCGAAGGTGGGAGGATCACTTAAGCCCAAGAGTTCCAGACCAGCCTGGGCAACATGGTGAGGCTTCAACTCTATATTAAACAATAATAATAATAATAATAGTAAAAATCTGGCCGGGTGCGGTGGCTCACACCTGTAATCCCAGCACTTTGGGAGGCTGTGGCGTGTGGATCACGAGGTCAGGAGACGGAGACCATCCTGGCTAACATGGTGAAACTCCGTCTCTACTAAAAAAATACAAAAAATTAGCCGGGTGTGGTGGCGGGCGCCTGTAGTCCCAGCTACTAGGGAGGCTGAGGCAGGAGAATGGCGTGAACCTGGGAGGCGGAGCTTGCAGTGAGCCAAGATCACACCATTGCACTCCAGCCTGGGCGACAGAGCGAGACTCCGTCTCAAAAAAAAAAAAATAGTAAAAATTTAAAAAGTTCTATTTTCCTACTGTAATTCTTTATTCTTTCTTTTCTTTTTTTTTTTTTTTGAGACGGAGTCTCGCTCTGTCGCCCAGGCTGGAGTGCAGTGGCATGATCTCGGCTCACTGCAAGCTCCGCCTCCCAGGTTCACGCCATTCTCCTGCCTCAGCCTCCCAAGTAGCTGGGACTACAGGCGCCCGCCAGCACACCCAGCTAATTTTTGTATTTTTAGTAGAGATGGGGTTTCACTGTGTTAGCCAGGATGGTCTCGATCTCCTGACCTTATGATCCGCCCGCCTCAGCCTCCCAAAGTGCTGGGATTACAGGCGTGAGCCACCGCGCCTGGCCTCCTACTGTAATTCTTATGAAGAATAGCTTGGTATAACAACGTAATCTTTCTTTGATAATCAAGAACCTTGCAGCTCTCAGGGCCATCCTCTGTAGTTCTTAAGCCACAGTATATACCACAATACAGAACAACTAGCATTTGGTTATCACTTCACCCACTGTTGGATCCATAGGACCCTGCAAGGATCTCCGTCACCAGCCCCACTTCCAGGCACCCAGGCCTGCCTATTTCCCTCTCAATCCCCCACTCCCAGGGCCCTGGGTAAGGGCTTCTCGTGGCTCCTTGGACCAGCGACAGCAGAAGCATTCTCCCAGCCACCATTTCTGTGACTTCCGAACCACTGCACACATGCCACTTTAGAAAGAGAAATCACTCCACGTGAGAATATGTACACAAATGTTCACAGCAGCTTTATTTTTAATAGTGCCAAACTAGAAACAACCCAAACCTGTCCTTCAATGGGTAAATGGTTAAACTAACTGCTGTATACCCATACCATGGAATACCACTCAGCAACTGCTGAAACATACCACAACTTGGGTGGATCTCAGGGGCAGGATAGTCAACGAAAAAAGCCAATCTCAAAAAGTCACATCCTGTATAACTCCATGCATATAACATTCCTGAAAAGACAAAAGTATAGAGATGCAGACTAGATTAGTACTTGCCAGCAGTTATGAATGGTGGGGAAAAGGGGCTGCTGTGGCTGTAAGGGGGTGGGACAAGGAGATATCTGGGATGATGACATAGTTTTGAATCTTGATTGTGGTAGTGGTTATAGGAATTTTCACACGATAAAAAATGACAATGAACTCTATACACCTTGCTCCGATGCCCAATGTCCTGGTTTAGACATTTTACTACAGTTGTGTAAATATGTAACCGTGGGAGAAAGCTGGGGGAAGGGTACTGGGACCTCTCTGTGCCATTTGTGCAACTTCCTGTGAATCTATAATTATTTCAAAATATGGAAAGAAAAAAGAGAGATTTGTTGAAAGTGTGCAGTGATCACACCATTCTCCCATTTGAACTCCTTCAACAGTGACTGACTGCCTGGAGAATAAGATTCAGTTCCCTAGCACAGCACAGGAGATGGCAGTCCTCTGGCCCAATCTTAGGCAACATCAAACCACCTGGGATCAGCGGACACACCCAGCTACTGCACACCTTCAGGCCTCTGCCTAAGCTGTTCCATCTGCTTGAAATGACTTCCCTCCCCTTTTTGACCTGCTGGTCAACATTCACCCTCCTTCAAAAATCTAGTTCAAGCACTTGCTTCTCTTACATGTTTCCTCCTCCAGCCTTTCCCTTCAAACCATGCTGGGCATGCCCCCATTTTTGCCACCCTCCCAGTATTCGCTTTAGATTGCATTCCGAGTCTACTTACACTTCTACTCTGTAAGGGCAGAAAATGTGTCTGATTTATTTCTCAATCCTCTACTGATTACACAGTGGGTGCCCAAAAAATGTTTGTTAAAGACAAAGCTAAATGGGAGAAAAAATGCGGTAGGGCAGCTGGGAGCAGTGGTTAAGATCGGGACTTTGACTTCAGACTCCCAGTGGGTCTGCTATTTATCTGGGTGATGTGCAGCAAGCGATTGCACTCATCTGCAACACGGACGAGCAGAGAGCCTCAGGGTACCTCTAGATAAGAAGTGCACAGCCCACTTAGGAAGGCATCTTGATGCAGGAATGCACCCTAAATCTGACGAAGCCTCGTCTAGATCCAATTACTAACTTACAGAGATTACAGAGAAACACATTCAATTACACTGCAGAGATGCAATCAATCAAATACCAACTATGGAAATGCTAAGGAACAACTCGATTGCTTCAACAAATAAACTACCAAGAAAACAAAGAAATAGGAGGGGGATCTATGGATTAAGAGAAACTTAAAAGACGTATCATCCAATCAACAACGTATGGCCTTCTCTTGCTCTACTTTCAAACTATTAAGGAAACCTAAAATTCATGGGGCAGCTGGAAATTTGAATATTGACTAGTTATTTGATGATATTAAGCAATTATTACTTTTTCAACTTTAAAAGAGTCAGTACCTTTAGAGACCTACCGAAGTGTGAAGTATAACTACTGTACACCTCCTGAGCACCCTGAGGTTGTGCCCGTATGTTTTACAGATGAGTGCAATCGCTTCTGCACATCACCCAGATAAGCAGCAGACCCACTGGGAGTCTGACTCAAAGTCCTGATCTTACCCACTGCTCCGAGCTACCCTACCACATTTATTCTCCCATTTAGCTTTGTCTTTACCAAACATTTACTGGGCACCCACTGTGTAATTAGTATCCCAAAAAATAATGAATGAAATGACATGATATTTAGGATTTGCTTGAAAATAATTATGGGTGGTAAGGGTGCAAGTGGATACCATTAGAGATGAAACAAGATTGGTCAGGAGTTAATAACTGTTAAAGCAGGACACTATTCTGTTTATTTTGTATATGTTTGAAAGTTCCCATAATAAAAGTTAAAATAAAAAGAATGATGTTGAAACTGGTTCATACAATCAAGTACAAAGTATCAGGAATTAATTATTCTGAAGGAAAATTATGTAAAAATGGCACCTTCCTAACCAAGTGTGAGGTGTAACTACTGTATGTATGTAGACCAAAAATAGTTGCCCTATTGGCAAATCAATAGTCTCAAGAAGAAAAAAAATCTGGTCTCTGTTTTATCTTATGCCTCATGAAAACAACTGGTTTACTCGCTATTAACTGGTTTGTCTGGTCCTTTTCTTTATCCAGAAAATTAAGAATATTTTATCTTAGACACATTCAAGTATCCCCTCTGTTGTTTATTTACGGGACCAAATAAACAGATTTTAATCTGTGAACAAATTAAAGTCCTGGCACCCTGAAAATTAAATTGCCAGGAAAATCAAAGCTGTCAAAAGAGAAGTCTATGCAAAAATAGTATTGTTTTTAACTCTGCAGGATCCTTTTGAAGAAAAAAAAAAGTTAAATGGAGGAAAACATTAAATAGATTGGTGGTCATTCTTCCAGAACAAGTTAAAAGCCAAAAGAGAATACTCAGAGCTGAGGGACCCAGGAAAGAATCCTTATCTGGGAAGTGATCTGGGTTCGAACTCCACTCACCAGCTGCTTGCTAAGAAACAGACTACTTAGACTCCTGAGCTTCCGTTTCCACAGGGCTCCAGTTACAATCAAATGAGTATCTGGGCTGGCACCTGGGCAAACAGGGCCTGGCTCCCCTGGCCTTAGGCTACCTTTCCTGCTCTCCTCACAGCTCCTCCCTCCCACACAGCCAGTCCTGGAGGATGACGATCCTGCAACCAAGCTGAATGAATCTGTATTTGGCTTGGCTCACAGCATTAAAAAAAAATTTAATTAGCTATTGCCAACATTTAAAAATCAGAACAAATGTGGAGTGCTGCCTTCCTTTTTAGAGACAGGGTCTTGCTCTGTCACCCAGGCTGGAGCACAGTGGTGTGATCATAGCTCACTGCAGGCTCCAAATCCTGGGCTCATGGGATCCTTCCACCTCAGCCTCCCAAGCAGCTAGGACTACAGGTGGATGCCACCACACCTAGCTAATTTCTTAAAATTTTTTGTAGAGACAGATCTCGCTACGTTGCCCAGGCTGGTCTTGAACTCCTGGCCTGAAGTGATCCTCCCACATCAGCCTCCCAAAGTGTCTTGAAATTACTGGCGTGAGCCATGGCACCCAGCCAAATTCCACCTTCTTCTAGAAAACTGCTGGGTAAGGTTCCTGTTCTTTAGGGTCCCCACGACTCTGTGTCCTTACACCTGGCCCTCCAGACTGATTCTCAACTCCACAGTGGCCTACGGTCCTTCCTTGGCCCTGCTCCTTCACACCTCTGTGCCTCTCCCTGCCTAGCAAATTTCTTATCACCCTCAAGGCCCCCCAGCACCACCTGTCACCTCCTCCACATTTCCATGGCATAGCCCCTCCCCTATAGCAAGGGTTGTACAGTCCTGGAACTAAGTGTCTGCATGCCTGCCTTCTCTACTGGGCTCCTGGGCTCTCTCGGGAAAGGGACCCCGTTGCTATCTGCCTTGTGTCCGTAGGGTCTAGCAGAAAGCATGACCTAGATAATGCAGAATTCAGTAAATGTCTCTTGTATGTGTGGAAGAAAGCTACAGCTAAACTATTATAAAAATGTGAGATTTTATATCACAGCTTGTTCCAACAGTTAGCAATTAAAGGGGTCAAGGACACCAAAATGTTTCACAAAATAGAACAAGCTTCCATCTGCTTACAAGTTTCACACGCTAATCAGAAGTCACTAAATGAACAGATAAAGCAGAGACAACAGGCAGGCTGGGCCATTTCTTTGATCATTCATTCATTCATTGAGCTGATACTACTGAATACTTCCTGTGTGCTTTCTAAGCACTGGGGATAAAGCAGTGGACAAATCAGACAGCTACCTGTTTTCACAAAGTTACATCCTAGTCGGGGAGACAGAAAATAAGCAGGCAAATAAATAGAATAGTTTCAAACCAGATGAGAGCTAGGAAGGAAATTTTTTAAATAATGAAATAGCATGACTAAGGGAAGAAAGAGGGTGGTCGAGGAGGGCCTCACCCAAAACGAGACATCTGACCAGAGGAAGGAGCAGAAAGAGCTACTTGTGCCAAGATCACGGAGACAACTCCAAAGACGGGGAAACAGCAAATGCAAAGGTCCTGGGGCAAATGCGGGCTGGCATGTTCAAGGCGGGCGAGATGAGTGGGACGGGGCAGCAGTCTTCTGGGGGAGGGGCGCGGTGGTAAGGGATTCGGGCTGGGTCCCCTCTGGCACTGCTGGACACCGAGTGTGCAATGACAAGGCAAGAGAGGAGTGCGCGGGGAGGCGGGAGGCTGGGCGGGTGGGGAGGGGGTTCCTACACCACTCACACCAGCACGGGCCAGCACCCTGCCCAGTCTTCCACAGATGCACACCGGGGTCCTGCCCAGGCGTCTGCATACATTCACACAGCCTGACAACAACCCTGTCCAGAAGAGACATTTCCCCACCTTCCCGAAGGCAAAACCGCGGCAGAGCGAGGGTCAGTGCCTTGGCCAAGGTCGCGGGGACGCGACCCCGGGCCCCTGGGCACCCGGCGCAGGAGTGCAGCTGTCTGCCCCACCTCCGGGAGGGATGGCGCCCGCAGACCCCACGGGCAGGTCGGCCGGGCCAGGCCGGTGAGCAGGCCCGCAGCCCGGGGCTGCTGACAGCCGGGCGGAAGGGGGCGCCTGCGGCATCCCCCAGCACAGGGGCGACGGCTGCGGCTGCCAGGGCCCCGCAGCCCCCGGCCCGCCCCGAAGCCCCCGGCCGCGCGGTTCCCTCACCGCCCCTCCCCGCGGGCCCGGCCCGAGCAGCCGCCGCCAGGCCTAGCCCGCCCGCCGGGCTCACCTCGCCTCCCCGCCGCCGCGCCACGGGGAGAGGGCGGGCGGGCGGACTGGCGGCGCTGCGTGCTAGTCACTCCTGGCTCCGCGGCCCCGGCTCCGCCGCCGGCCCGCCCCGCTCCGCTCCGCCCCGCCGCCGCCGCCGCCGCCGCCGCCGCAGTGGGTGTGAGGGGCGCCGGGGCGCTGCGACCCTTCCGGTCCCGCTCCCTTCTCCGCCGCTGCCGCCGCCGCGGCGCCCGGTCTGACAGACCCTCGCGCCGACCAATCAGCGCGCGGAGAGCGGAGCAGGCGCGGCCAATGGCGCCTGGGGGGCGGGCCGATGGAGGGTGGCGCGGGCGGGGTCGGGGGCCGGGTCGGGCGCCCGAGGTCCTGGGCCGGGGTTCCGCGGGTTCTTCGCCCCCGGGCCTTTCAGTGGCGCGGGCCGAGTGGCCATGGCGCTCGGGTGCGCGCAGTGCACGCGGTGAGCTGGAGACGCAGGCATTGCGCGGCCCACCGGCTGAGCCCGCTCTCCCTGCGAGGGGGGCGCAGCTCGGTGGAGAGGGTGGCCCGGAGGACCGGGAACCGGGCTGGAGGCGCGCGGGGCTCACACCGCGGGGTCCGCGGGGAGCCGGGCCTCGGGCTGCAGGTGCAGGCTTGTGGCGGTGAGGCGACTGGAGCGGCACGGGAGCCCGCCCGTTTCGGGGAGAGCCCGGGGCGATCGCGGGGGGAGGCCGGCCTGGCGTCCGGGAGCCCGGCGTGCTAGGGCCCGGTAGGCGGGGCGGGCCTCGCACTCGGTTGCTCGCTGCGGCGCCGGAGGAACGGGTCTATGGGGGTGTGGGTGAGGCCAGAAGCCGGGTCGAAGAGGGGGAGGGGGTGCGAAGAGATGGCGGTGTGTAGACAGGTGACCCGGTGGGTCGGTGACGCAGGAGGAGACTGCGCTTGGTGGCGGGATCACTTAGTTGACAACATCTAAAAATTAGGAGGTGCGGCAGGGCGCGGTGGCTCACGCCTGTAATCCTAGAACTTTGGGAGGTCGTGGCGGGTGGACTACCTGAGGTGAGGAGTTCGAGACCAGCCTGGCTAACCTGGTGAAACCCCGTCTCTATTAAAAATACGAAGCAATGAGCTGGGCGTGGTGGCGGGCGCCTGTAATCCCAGCTACTCGGGAGGCTGAGGCAGGAGAATCACTTAAACCTGGGAGGCGGAGGTTGCAGTGAGCCGGGATTGCGCCATTGCACTCCAGCCTGGGTGACAGAGTGAGACTCTCTCAAAAAAAAAAAAAAAAAAAAAAAAAAAAAAAAAAAAAAAAAGGGAGGTGCTCAGTCAAGCCTCTGAGAGGAGTGGGGGGCGGGGCGAGGAGTCTCTTGCTCAGAGCCCCCTAGGGACTGGGACCCGTTGACTCTGAGCTGCTTTTGAGGCTGGATCAGGTACCAGCGGCCTGGGGGTCGTACAGGATGGGAGAGGCCGGGGCTTGGGATGTTGCCAGATCTACGTTGAAAAGTGAAGCAGGAAGAGAGGCACTGAGGCTGGGCACATGGGGAAAACCGTGGAGAGCCGGCCTTTGGGGACTAGAAGAGTGGGAACAATGGTTGACAAATGGTGAGTGTGGTGTAGAACAGCAGTAACACAATACCAGGATCCACAGAGTGGCCAGGGCCAGAGTGGGGAGAAGGAACAGGACTCTGCAGATGGGGAGGGTAAGGGGCTGGGTGGCGTGAAGGGTGGTTGCAGAATTTGGGGAGGGCAGCTAGCCTGTGACCCAGGTTCCAAGGGCACTGAGGTCTGGGCCAGGCCGCTTGGAGGCACCAGAGCCTCAGAGGAGGGGTGGGGTAGAGGAACGGATCCAGCATGGTGTCCCCCTTGGCCACCAGAGGGAGTTTTCTAAATTTGAGCATGGCTCATCGCTGCTTGAAATTCTACGTCACAGTGTGGCCTGCATTGAGGAGGGCCCACACCTGTCGCTACCTCAGACTCACCTGCCACCTGCCTCAAGTGCATGAGAGAGAACAGGAAACCAGAAATTGTCAGGATCGAGGATTATGGGAAAAGAGTAAAAGCCTAGCTGTCAGATCTGAGGTTCCACCAAGGAGCACTGATGGGTGCTTCTCATTAGGAAGGCGGTGCGGTGGCTCACACCTGTAATCCCAGTACTTTGGGACGCCGAGGTGAGTGGATCACCTGAGGCCAGGAGTTCGAGACCAGCCTGGCCAACATGGTGAAACGTCATCTCTATTAGAAATACAAACATTAGCTGGGCGTGGTGATGGGTGCTTGTAATTCCAGCTATTCAGGAAACCAAGGCAGGAGAATAACTTGAATCCACGAGGCAGAGGTTGCAGTGAGCCGAGATTGCTCCACTGCACTCCAGCCTGGGCAACAGAGCAAAAACTGCATCTCAAAAAAATAAAAACAAAAAAACAGAGGGGACACCAGTTCCCAGCACTCCAGGCCTAACTTCATAGCACTCACATCATGTCAAGTGAGTAACCAAAAATCAGTGTACATATGTACACAGCTATACATATCTCACACTAAGTTTTCTGTAAGAGTTCTTTTTATTGCAGAGACACTGCTTTTTTTCTGGTTTATGAAATACAGTGAACATTTATGGACACAAAGCTGAGGTGACAGGGTGGGGAGGGGGGCCTTGGAACAGCACCAAGAATCCTGGTTGAACCCTCCAAGTGAAAAGATCCTGCCACGACATACGTGAACCAGGTGTGACACGTGAGCACGTCTCACCTGATCCGGCCTATGGTGGGGAGAAGCAATTGAGGAAGGCCTTCTGGGCAGGAGGAAGTTGTTGCTGAGGCTGCCGAGCAGGATGTGTTGGGCCTGTGACTTAGGCAGAAAGGGCGCTCAGGCCCACATGCTCAGATGTGAGGACCTGCTTGCTGTGTTCAGGGAGCCACAAGTCACCTGGTCTTAGGGAAAGGTGAGGGGACTGGAGAGTTCTGAGGACCTTGAGGTAGATTGGCACTGCCAGGCATGTAGGCTGGCTTTAGCTCACTGATACGCCTTGTTCAGCCCAGAGAGGTTTTCTTTTTTTAATTGATTAGTTGATTTAAGAAACATTTAGATTTGGGATGAGCTGTTTTGGATGTTTATCCTCAATGAAACTCATGTTCAAACTTAATCTCCAATGTGGCAGTACTGAGAGGTGGGGCCTCTAAGCGTGGTTGGGATTAACCTGTCGATGGATTCATGGATTAAAGGGTTATCACCGGAGTGGGACTGGTGACTTCATTAGAAGAGGAAGGAAGACCTGAGCTGGCCTGTGAATATGCTCCGCCCCCTGGCCATGTGACACCTGCGCCACCCTCAGGACTCTGCAGAGTCCCCAGCAGCAAGAAGGCCCTCACCAGGTGCAGCCCCTCAACCTTGGACTTCTCAGCCCCCAGGGCTGTAACAAATAAATTCTTTTTTAAAGTAAATTACCCAGTTTCAGGTATTCTGTTATAAGCAACAGAATAAGAAACAGACTAAGACAAGAGCACAGCGGGGTGGAGGAGCTAGGGGTGCCTGGGGCATTGGGGACCTGTCCGGAGGCCAGCTGTGTATGCAGCCACAGTGCCAACGGGTTTCTGTGATCCTGATATCCCCCACCCTTGACTGGCCTGGATTCCAATCCGACTCTTGTCAGCTGTGCTCCTCTGGGCAAGGGATTCACTTCTGTCTGCCTTGGTTCTGTAGGAAGTGGCATGGAGAAGGACAGAAGCAGGAAGAGCTGGGTGCGGCCCATGCAGCAGGGATGGTGTAGGTCCTTATGCTGACTGCCTCTGTCCCCTCAACACTTTGCCTGCCCTCCCCCCATTGCACTAACCCACATCTTCCCTTCTCCCCTACAAGGACCCAGAGATGTGCTAGAGGGTGTAAGTCGGGGCTGTCCCAGCTGTGTGTTGTAGAAAACTAAACTGCACTTAAACCAATGGGGACGTTTACTGGGAGGTGCCTGTAACATCATACCCAGGGGAGGTAGGGGCAGAGCTGGTCTGGAAACTCTAGGGCCATGGAGGCCACTGCAGGCCCAAATGGAGTTTGAAAACCCACAACAATGGACTCTGATGGTCCCCCAGACAGGGCTTCCATTCTGGAACTAGTCAGCCATGCTGGGCAGACAGGCTCATGTGAGGACATGGCAGGGAAGGGCAGAATTGGGAAAGGCAGAAGTCTGGAAGTTTCTTCCATGGTGATGATTAGAATGAGGGCATCTGAGCTGGGGCGCAGCTGAGGGTGTGGCACTGTATGGAAACAGGGTTATTTGGGGGCTGTATAACTGAATGCTGAACCCAGTGGCCCTTAGCCCTCCTCCTCCGGGAATCCCCCAGAGCACCAGCAGCTGGGACTGTCCTCAGGCAGGGAGCCAGCAAGCTGTTCTCCAGAAGTCTGACCAGCCCTGAAGGGAAGACCTGAGGTATGAACATTATGACACCCCCACCCCCACCAGATTTCCCAGCAGTGAATCCTGCATCAACCAGCCCTACCATGCCTTAGACCTTCCAGTCAGCCCCCCTTGAATCTGAACAGACAGCTCCATGTCATATGGCTAAGAAAAGTAAGACAAAAAACTGCATCTTGAAAGAAACAGACTCTGTGGAGAAGGAAAATTCAAAAAATAAAAATAAAACTACTGCTAGCTTCAGAGAGAATGAAAAAATATTGCATCCTTCAAACAAGAACCAGCCATTTAAAAATTATGCAGCACAGGTGTATGCAACATGGCCTTGCTCTGTCAGCTGAGATGGCCTAGAAGCAATGACATCTCAGCAGTGGCTGACACACCCAGAGCCCAGATCTTGTTCTCTAATGTCATTCGCCATAAAAGGAACCAGGGATCCCTGGAGAAATGGTTGATTCTAGGGCTGGGACAGGGGATGGACAAGACGAGCCTGGAGAATATTGTTGTGCAGGTAAGGAAGTACTTACAACACACACACACACACACACACACACACAAGGAAGTACAACACACACGTAAGAAAGTACACACACGGAAGTACTTACCCCCCCCCCCACACACACACGGAAGTACTTACCACACACACACACACACACACACACAAGGAAGTACAACACACACGTAAGGAAGTACACACACGGAAGTACCCCCCCACACACACACACGGAAGTACTTACCACACACACACACACACACACACACACAGATGGGGCTATGTCAAAGAGACACAAGAGCCAACTGAAAGAGCCCCCAGTGGCTGTTGCTGGAACCATTGGAACAACAAACTAACATAGTATTGGGCATGACTCAAAATATAAAATAAATATCTATGGTTCATTCTAATAGAAATAATAAATGGGGAAGAATAGAAAAGTTTGTGGCCGGGCACAGTGGCTCGCACCTGTAATCCCAGCACTTTCGGAGGGCGAGGTGGGCGGATCACGAGGTCAGGAGATCGAGGCCATCCTGGCTAACACGGTGAAACCCCATCTCTACTAAAAATACCAAAAAAAATTAGCCGGGTGTGGTGGCGGGCACCTATAGTCCCAGCTACTCAGGAGGCTGAGGCAGGAGAATGGTGTGAACCCGGGAGGTGGAGCTTGCAGTGAGCCGAGATCACGCCACTGCATTCCAGCCTGGTGACGAAGTGAGACTCTATCTCAAAAAAAAAAAAAAAAAAATATATATATATATATATATAGTCAGAGCAAAAAAAAACCCTCGAAAAATTAAATCATGTTGGCAGAAATGAAAAATCTTAGTAGCAGGTTGGGAGATAAAATTGAAATCTCTCAGTAGGGCAAAAAGACAACAAATGAATGATAAAAAAGATAAGAAATTAGAGGCCAGTCCAGCAGCTTCACCCTGGGAATAATAGACACTCCAGAGACAGAGAAACAGAGAAATCCACAACAAAATAATTCAAGAAAATTTCCTAGTCTGAAAGGCAAAAGTTACCAGATGCAATCAACCCTAAATGAAATGTGCTCTAGGCAACTTGTGGTATTTCAGAACACAGGAAACAAAAAAGAGACCAAAAGGTCACCTACAAAGACATCAGACTTTGGACTCAATAGCAGCACTGGGAACAAGACGATGAAGCACTACCTTTAAAATTCTGCAGGAACACCTTTTTCTGACCTAGAATTGTGTGTTTAGCTAAACCCTCTATCAAGTATAAATAAAAAAATCATTTCCACACCTGCAGATTCTCAAAAAACTTGCCTTCTGTTGTGGCCTGAATATTTGTGTTTCCCCAAATTCATATGTTGCAATCCTAACCCCTGCCACATGTGATGTTATTAGGAGGTGAGGCCTTTGGGAGGTGATGAGTGTGAGGGTGGAGCCCTTATGAATGGGATTAGTACACTTATCAAAGAGGCTCCAGAGAACTCCCTTGTCCCTTCTGCCATGTGAGGACACAGCAAGAAGGCTGCTCTGTACAAACCAGGAAATGGGCCCTCACCAAGACTCCACATCTGCCGGTGCCTTGATCTTGGACTTCCCACTGTTGAGAACTGTGAGAAAGAAATGTGGGATTTTTATAAGGCACCAGGGCTGTTACAGCAGGCTGAACTGACTTAAGACACCTCTCAAGCACCTTTTCTCAAGAATGGGCTTCACCAGAACAAAAAAGGAAACTCAGAAGAAGGAAGACACAGATACAGAAAACAGGAGCCCAGGCCGGTATGGCAGCTCACGCCTGTAATCCCAGCGCTTTGGGAGGCCGAGGCAGGTGGATCACGAGGTCAAGAGATCGAGACCATCCTGGCCAACATGGTGAAACCTTGTCTCTACTAAAAATACAAAAATTAGCTGGGTGTGGTGGCGCACGCCTAGAGTCCCAGCTACTTGGGTGGCTGAGGCAGGAGAATTGCTTGAACTCGGGAGGCAGAGGTAGCAGTCAGCTGAGATCACGCCACTGCACTCCAGCCTAGCAACAGAGCAAAACTCTGTCAAAAAACAAGCAAACAAACAAAAAAACAAAAACAGGAACCCAACACAGAAGACATGGCCTGGGAGGCCCATGGAGGGTGGCGAGAAGTGACCCTGAGGTGATGGCTCTGCACCAGACGTGGAGAGCGACTGAGCCATACTGAGCAGCGTGACCCACGGGGTGAACTGTCTTCACCAAGACCCCACCTCCATCAGGCCATCTGTAGCCCGGGGACAAAATGCCCAGGAGAGCCTGGCCTAGGTTCTTGGCGGTACTTGGCTTGGCCATGTGCCGACGAGGGGCGCTCCCCTCCTCTGCTGAGGACGCACAACATTCACAGAAGTTTCCAGCTTTCCCCCCACCGAGAGCTGGAGGCAGGCCGTGGCGAGCTTAGAAGCAGGACGTACAGGTCAGCCCCCTCCCTCTGACTATTTCCACTGCAGGTCCAGCGCGTGGTCCCCACCTTGGCCCTACCAGGTGCCTGACTGTGCTGAGCCCAAGACTTCCTCGAGACCTTCCTCATGACTTCCCCAGGAGGGGCCTTGTCAGTTCCCAGAGAAGCAGGGGTCAGACCACGACCTGGAGACTGATCTGCTCACCTCCTGGAACCTCCGTCTAGTGGAGGCAGTGCCGCCCTCTCCTTGCACCGCCAGCATGCACTCACCCTCCACTTTCGAACTAGGCAGTGTATTTGGGGGATAGATACACAGGTGAAACTATAAAGAAAAGCAAGGGAACAATTGGCACAAAAGTCAGAATGGCCGTCGCCTCTTGGGCATAAGGATGAAATACACTTTCTAGGTCTTGTCCAGAGAAAAATGTTCTGGCTAGTTTGTAGTCTCCTAATCTTGGAAGTTGTATTGGTCATGGATTGATTAGTAGGACAGAAACTATTCTAGCCATTTCCCTGGGACTGACCCAGGGCCTGGAGGACAGAAGTCAGGAAAAGCCCCTGTGGCACCTGGTTGCTGCCAGCTCTCCAGAGTTGGGATTTTAGAGGAGCCACAGGCGACCTCTGTTCATGGTCACCACTGCCTGGCATGCTGAGGTGGGTGCGTTTTGGGGAGCCCCTGAGGGCCACAGCAGAACCCCGTTTGCTGAAGCAACATTTCTATCTGCTTCTGCCAGAGATAAATACAAAATATGATTTCTGCCACTCAACTATCTTCCAAGTCTCCCATGAATGCCTCTCACTGGTGGATAACCTAGAAATGTAGCTCCCAGCTTTCCAGCCCCTGTGATACAGGTGAGGGCATAGGACAGAATGGTGGATAACTGGAAATGTAGCTCCCAGGTTTCCAGCCCCTGTGATACAGGTGAGGGCATAGGACAGGATGGTGGATAACTGGAAATGTAGCTCCCAGGTTTCCAGCCCCTGTGATACAGGTGAGGGCATAGGACAGGATGGTGGATAACTGGAAATGTAGCTCCCAGGTTTCCAGCCCATGATACAGGTGAGGGCATAGGACAGGATGGAAATTTGCTGAGTAGCCCATAGGTAATCCTGGACAGGGTTTATGAGATACTAGGGCTACACACACCCGTTGTCATGAAGACATCATTCAGGTTGTGTGTGACAGCACTTACGTAGGAAGCCTAAGTTCTGACTTCACAAAACTTCAGAACTCTCTGGCTTTCAATCTTTCCATCTGATTGTATTAATGAAACCAGGGACTATAATAGCCTTATTGGGAAAAAAATACAAATTTGAGAGTTTCACCCCTCTATGCTGTCTACAGGTTCTGCCCAACCCCTTCCAGGTTCAGTGGCCCCTCTGCTGAGTCCCAAATCTCTTGGATTTGTTGTATCCTGGACAACAGCCCTCCTTTTCCTACTAGAAACCCATAGGTCTCAGGTGTGGACGAGGCCAATGTTACTAACAAACAGGGCTGCCCCTCCAAACACTGCCGAGCTCCTGCACAGTCCTCAAAATTCAAAGTACACAAAAAGAATGAGGTTAACAAAATGCAAACACACACAAAAAAACTGTATGTTCTTTATTGTCCTAAAATTGCATAGTACTTTTGATTGTGCACGCTTTTAAATAGAGAGCAGAGTTGCCCACTTGAAACTACTCTCTTGCATGGGATATTTCAAGCTGTTTTACTATGGGCAAGGAGCAGGGACCAAAATGCTGCCAGGGCTTAAAAAGAGCCGTGATCAGATTAAACAGAAGTTGGAGAAGTGGAGGGATGTGGGCCACACACGAGAAGAAAATGTTGAAGGAGGCTGAGATTTCAACTGGACTTATAGGAGGCATAGGTGGATGCAGGAGGGGCTCCACGGATGTCAGAGAACAGGATTCAGGAGCAGCCTAGAGAGGAAAGAAAAGGAGAAAGGAGTCCAGAGGGCCAATGCCTTGTGCTCACATCTGAGATGAATGCCACCTGCCAGGAGCAAGCCTGGACACAGAGCATGGGTAGCTAGGATGAACAGTTTGGCCGTTACCACGGCTACAGAAAGCCACATACTAGAAAAATAACTTAAAAGCTATACAGTCGTCATTATAAATATCTTGTCTTTTAAAACTAACTCTAGTGTTGGTTATAAAAGGTTCACAGTTACTCTGAAGAGAGCTGTATCTCTATTGCACAGTAGTGGAGAAGTCTGCTCTGATCCCCATGTGTAAACAATGATTCCCTTCTCCTCTGGCGACTTCAGGACACAGAGAAACAGTATCTGCTGTAAGCAAAAGCACTTGGGTAGAAGGCACGTGGAAGCTGTCAAGCTCTACAGGAGCACGCAGAACATGTGGGATGTCCACTTCTCTTCCCATGTAGCATCCCTGCTGTTGGGACAGGTCTGGAATCAGATGAAAGGTGGTGATGGTCTTGTCACGGTCTCAGCCTCATTCCACAGTTACAGACTTGGCCAGATTTCTGGGGAAGTCAACCTAAAATGAAAGAAAGTGACTGTTCAGGACCCCAAAGATCTCAGCAACATGCTACCTCTCACAGACAATTTTCAGAGTACTTAAAAACAAGAGACAGATGTTCACCATGGTCACCAACCTAGAGACCTGCGTCTTGGAGGCAGATTCCTTAGTCCAGAAGCCTCATTTAACCGTATAAGGTTTAGTCCCTCAATAAACATTTACTGTGCACCTGATGTGTGTCATGATCTGTTAACATGATTTAAAGAATAAGGTTCATGCTTTTAAACACAGGTAACTTGGTGTGTACTGTTAAAAATTAACTTTTCTTGCAAGAATATATATGAATTCCATGGGACTTATTTGTTTAGGGTGGAGTGGGAAGGAAAGGTAGGAATGGTTCATAAGTACGCTTCTACTGGGCCGGGTGCGGTGGCTCACACCTGTAATCCCAGCACTTTGGGAGGCTGAGGCAGGTGGATCACGAGGTCAGATCAAGGTCATCCTGGCTAACACGGTGAAACCCCGTCTCTACAAAAAATACAAAAAATTAGCCAGGCATGGTGGCGGGTGCTTGTAGTCCCAGCTACTCGGGAGGCTGAGGCAGGAGAATCGCTTGAACCCAGGAGGTGGAGCTTGCAGTGAGCCGAGGTTGTGCCACTGCCCTCCAGCCTGGGCGACAGAGCGAGACTCAATCTCAAAAAAAAAAAAAAGAAAGCTACTTTAAATAAAATTATTTACTCTATGACTATTTACTCCAAGTATTTAAAGAACAGAAAGGAACTCTGGGGTTATGTCTCTCCTCTCTGCTGTTAGGTGCAGTTTTTAGACGCACGTCATATCCTCGGAGAACAGCCAGGTGGAAGGACAGCAGCTGCAGCGGAATCACGCTCAGGATGCCCTGGAGGCAGTCCACAGTGTGGGGCAGCTCAATTGTCTTATACGCAAACTTGGAACTTTCAGTATCGTCCTTGGAGCACAGTATAATGGGGCGACCCTAGAGCAGAGAAATAGCATCATAAAATAGACCCTCTCTGAAAGAAGCTATCCCTGATGCATACAGAGTATCTGGAAGCTACATTACTGTGATGAGAACAGTCCTCTTTTGCATTTGCTGGAGTCATGGGTGAGGTGGTATGTGTGGGACACAAATGCTTGGAAAGGATAAAGTGTCTGATGCTTTTTGGGGGTTTCTTCCCCTTCCCTGGTAAGGAGATTGCCATCCTGCTGCATCATTTGGCACCCATTTGTGCCTTGCCGAGAGCGGGGCAGACTCACTCCTAACTCTAGCGGGGCTCATAGTCTAGTGGTAGAAAACAAAAACCTAGACAAGCAAACCAAGAAATAAAGATGAATTCCAGGCCGGGCGTGGTGGCTCACGCCTGTAATCCCAACACTTTGGGAGGCTGAGGCGGGTGGATCACGAGGTCAGGAGATCGAGACCATCCTGGCTAACATGGTGAAACCCTGTCTCTACTAAAAAATACAAAAAATTAGCCGGGTGTGGTGGCGGGGGCCTGTAGTCCCAGCTACTGGGGAGGCTGAGGCAGGAGAATGGCGTGAACCTGGGAGGCGGAGCTTGCAGTGAGCCGAGATGGCGCCACTGCACTCCAGCCTGGGCGACAGAGCCAGACTCCGTCACAAAAAAAAAAAAAAAATGAATTCCAAAGAAATGCCACCAAGGCTAGAAAACAGGATAATGTCATTGGGAGACTGGTGAGGTCTCCAAAGCTCTCTCAAAAACAGGAGACATCTGGACTGAACCCTAAATGATGAGGGGACAACCCTCGGCGGAGCATTCTGTGGGAAGGGCATTCCAGACAGCAGGAGCGGCCAGCGCAAAGGCCCGGAGGCGGGCGCGGGCGCAATGAGAGTGGGACGCAGAAGGAAAGCTGGAGTGCCTGGAACTCACTGAAACAGGAGGAAAGGGCCAGATAACGCAGGACTGTGGGTCTCTGTGGCTTGACAGGCAGGTATGGGAGGGTTTTAAGTGGGGAAATGATGCCATTGTGTTTTATACCCTCACTCTGACCTCTGTGCTGAGCCAGGTGGCAACATCTGGATGGGGCACCTCATTGGATTTCACCTCCCCGAAACTTCATGAACTCTGCCCTCCTACCTCAGGGCAGCTGCTGTGTACAAAGCATTTGGTTGGTCTTTGTGGCCGGTTCCAGGAAGGGAGCTCCTGGCTTCTGGACTTTCCCATGTGACAAAAGCATCTTTGTTATTTATGGGAGGTCCCTTGGACTATACCTAACTTTATGCTAAGGTGACGACTCGTGGTGGGCCTGTAGATAGTTCCAGGATGGCGTCTGGCCCTGCTAGAAAGGCCAGCCACATGATTAGAAGGTTGGGGCTTTGAGACATGAGCCTGTCAGTCTGACCTCCCAACCTCCAAGGACAAAAGTGGGGCTGGCGACTGAGTTTGATCACATGGCCAATGGTTCACTCCATCCTGCCTACTTAATAAAACCACAATACAAACTCTGGACACTGGAGCTAGCAGCTCAGGGGAGCTCCCGGGCGACACACAGTGACGTGCTGGGAGGGTGACACATCCTGAGGACACAAGCTTCACATCTGGGGCCCTCAAACTAGGGGTCTCTTCTTTTGGGTTGGCTGTGATTTATATCTTTTATAATAAAACTGTAATCATATAGTCATCTCCTGAGTTCTATGGGTCGTTCTAGAAAATTACTGAACTTCAGGGGAGAGTGGGAATCCTTGGATTCATAGTCAGTTGCTCAGATGTGTGGGTGGACCCCTGGCTTGCAACAGGTGCCTGAATCGAGGGCAGTCTTATGGAAAGCTGTGCCCCTGCCCTATGAGACCTGACCTAACTCCAGGTAGTTCCCATCGGAGCTGCTTGGCCGCAGAACCTGGGGAAACCCTGCCCCAGGGATGTCCACCAGGAGTACCTCCCCTGAGCTCCAGGCTAGGATCTGGTGCTGCTCACAGCAGTGTGGGTCCCTGGGCCCCACCAAAGAGCTGTGTGGGACAGCTGCGGGCTGACCAGCTCCTTTCCAAGTGTGTGCACTCCCCACAGGCGGCCCGGGGGAGGGTGTGTGGTCACAGCCACTCACTGGCCAGACCATCCATCACTGGTACTGGCAGACAGTGGTGAGGTGGGCATGCATGGGGAAAAGCAGGAGAGAGCTGGCCCAGTCCAGTGGAGAGCCCTCACCTGGCGGGCCGTGACTTGCTGCAGGGCGTTCTGGCATTTGGCGAAGCAAGGATCCTTCATAATGACCATGATGACGGGCATCTGCTTGTCAATCAGTGCCAGGGGCCCGTGCTTCAGCTCCCCAGCCAGGATGCCTTCTGAGTGCATGTAGGTTATCTCTTTAATTTTCTGGAAACAGGAGGTGAGATCAGAGTCACACTGGGCAGATGGGGCTGGAGCAGATCAGCCAGAGGGGAAGAAGGGGAACCAGGGGAAGGATGACTCTGGAAGGCAGAGAGCCAAGGGTTGCAAGGCAGACAGATGCCTGGAGTGCTTGACAGCACTGAGGACACCCAGCAAGGGCCTGGGGAGAGGCCTGGCTACCATCCAGAGCATGCACCAGCCCGGGACACAACCTCTGTGTCCCCACACCAGCCCCGGGCACTGCTGTTGTCTCTCTCCAGTCCCACGCACAGCCACCCCTTAGGACAAACAAGTCGGAGTCAGCCTAGCTCACCCCCTGCTCCTCCCTAGCCAGCCACGTGTATAACGACAGCATCGTATTCAGCTTAGCTACACCTTCAGTTAATTATCTGATTAAGCATTTGCCCATTAATAACTTCTAAAGAGTGGTTCCAAGCAAAATCACACAAACTGGGGTGTTATTTGAATTAATTTTTTTCCTGTGTTCAGGTAGATCCATCTCTATTCAGTTACCACAAATCCACGTCATTGAAATGGTGAGACAGTCAAATAAATCATCTCTCGACTCCCCGCTAGCACTGCTGATTTAGGTCAGGGCCACACTGTAAGGAGTGCGGCTCCAGTCTGGAGGCGCAGACAGCTGCAGTGCCGGCCTCCCAGTGACCAGAGGACCATGGGCTCGTGCCAGCAGCCACCTAAACGCTTCTTCCTTCAGCAGACTCATGCGGAGGCATAGCTGCAATGTGCATCTCCCGCCAGCACGTTCAGCCACCGCAGCTCAGCCCCCACCCATGACGCAGAGTCATCTGGGGACTGACAGTGCACCCCAGGCCTTGCCTCTACTGCACTCCAAGAAGCAGCACCTGCCTGTTCTTTAACAGGAGTCAGAATCTCCAGGGGGCAGGTGCAGGAGATGGAGCTCAGTGAGGACAGCCCTGCACTCCCCACCAAGACCAAGGAAATCAACTCTGAATGTTTCCGGTAACCACTTGTAACTGGCATTGTCTTTCTTTTTTTTTTCTTTCTTTCTTTTTTTTTTTTTTCGTTGAGATGGGAGTCTCGTTCTGTCTCCCAGGCTGGAGTGCAGTGGCATGATCTTGGCTCACTGCAACCTCCTCCTCTTGGATTCAAGCGATTCTCCTGCCTCAGCCTCCCATGTAGCTGGGATTACAGGCGTGCACCACCACGCCCAGCTAGTTTTTGAATTTTTGGTAGAGATGGGCTTTTACCATGTTGTCCAGGCTGGTCTCGAACTCCTGACCTCAAATGATCTGACTGCCTTGGCCTCCCAAAGTGCTGGGATTACAGGCGTGGACCACTGTGCCAGCCTAGCATTGTCTTTCAAATGGGGGTGGTGGGGAGGAGATGGGAGAGGATGGCAGCCCAGCTGGGCCACGGTTAATGCCCTCGTCTTGGTGGCCAGTGCAGCCTCAGCTGGAGCACTGTCCCCGTCACCTGGGCTGAGCATCTGCTCCGTGCATGGCATGCTGACAGCGAGGAAAGGGCAAGTCCGAGATGCAGGACCCTGCACGGCTCTCTGCCCACCCTCTGGGCAGCCCTGTGGCCCTGGCACCCTGTCCCTGCCCCATCAGCTTTCTCTTTCCTGGCGTGGATCTTTAATGCTGCAGGGGGCAAATGGCCTGTCACCAATTTTTGAAAAAGCAAGGCCTTCGAAGTTAATTCCTGCAGGATCTCAAACTCCCCTTGGAAGTTTGAGGGGTAACAAGGAAACTCTGCGGAGAACCCACCCCTCAATTTTGGTGGAAAAAAGCGAAGGCCCCATGGACTCAGGTCTGATTCGGGTCCCCTACGTCATCTTGAGTGAGATACTTAAGCTTTCAGAGGCTTTGTTTCCTCCTGAATGAGGGTGAATAGCAACCGCCAACCTCTCAGAAGCAGCTCATGAGGTCTGAGTGAGCTGTTCCAAGTGGACCCTGGCAGTGCCTGGACAGCCGGAGGGGCACACCCCAGGCGCCCTGTCCCTTTCTCCTCAGTAGATTGGGAGATCCCTGGGGGCAGGCACCTGCCTCACCCATCTCTGTGTGCCCAGGGCTAGAAACCTGGTGGAGAGCTGGTGCTCAGCGCAGGCTCACAGGACTGGCCAAGGGGTCCTTAGGCCCGGCCCTCCCCAAGCCCAACGCCCTGCCCTCCTTCCCGCTGGCTCCTCAGGGTCTCCTGTGCCTGTCCTCCGTGGGGGTGGGGGCTGGGGGTGGGGGCTCACCAGGGCTCCTTCCAGGCAGGTGGCATAGTTGTAGCCCCGCCCCATCACCAGCAGCGATCTCTGCGTGTAGAGCTCCAGGGCCAAGTCGTGGATCTTCTCCTCCAGAGACAGCACTTCCTTGATCAGCTCTGGGCCATGCACGGAGCAGAGGGAGAAAACCAGTCAGGCCGACTTTAAAGCAATATTCATGAAGACAAATGCTGGGGTTTAAGAGGAGCTTTTGAAACCGCATCACTTAGCACACTTTGCTTCCTCGCATTCGTTTCAAACGTAGATTACAGGAAATAACTTGGGCTCCTGGCCAGGATTCTGTTAGGATGGGGATTCGTGTTGTGTGAACACTTTCTTGAGCACCAACAAGGTAGGAAGTACCATTTCTCACTCCGTTTTGCAGGTAAGACAACTGAGGCTCAGAGAGGCAAAAATCACCCACTGGAGACAGAGCTGACACCACCAGTTAACACCCCTCTTTCCTGCTGTGTCTCAAGACAAGGCCCCTGTAAGTGGGACCACCGGTTCTCAAACCCTTTGGTCTCAGGACTCCTTTACACTCTTGAAAATTATTGCAAGTCCCTCAAATTATTGCACATCCCCAAGAGCCTTTGTTTTTGAGTTAAATCTGTCAACATTTACCAGATTAGAAAATAACACTGAGGACCAGGCGTGGTGGCTCACGCCTGTAATCGCCGCACTTTGGGAGGCCGAGGCGGGTGGATCATGAGGTCAGGAGATCGAGACCATCCTGGCTAACATGGTAAAACCCCGTCTCTACTAAAAATACAAAAAATTAGCCGGGCGTGGTTGGGTGCGGTGGCTCACGCCTGTAATCCCAGCACTTTGGAAGGCTGGGGCAGGCGGATCACGAGGTCAGGAGATCGAGACCATCCTGGCTAACATGGTGAGACCTGGTATCTACTAAAAATACAAAAAATTAGCCGGGCATGGTGGCGGGCGCCTGTAGTCCCAGCTACTCGGGAGGCTGAGGCAGGAGAGTGGCGTGAACCTGGGAGGCGGAGCTTGCAGTGAGCTGAGATGGCACCACGGCACTCCAGCCTGGGCAACAGAGCGAGACTCCATCTCGAAAAAAAAAAAAGAAGAAAAAGAAAGAAAGAAACTAACAATGAGAAATTTAAAAATATTCACTTTAAAATAACAACACTAAATCTATTACATTACTTCATTTCCAACAAGAATTAGTGAGAAGAATGGCACTGCTTTTTGTTCTTGCAAATCTTTTTAGTGTCTGCCTTTTTAATAAAAGACTGTTGACTCTAATATCTGCTTTCACATTCAATCTGTGGTGATAAGCTCTTTTGGTTGAAGTATAAAAATAAAATTCAGCCTACAAATACAGATTTGTAGTTGGAAAAGCGAGGAGTATTTAAATTATTTTACAAATAATTGTGAATATTGTTCTTTGACACCACAGTACATCAAACTTGAGAAACAGTAGGTTCTTGAAAGGGTAGGTGCCAATATAGAATCTGAAATCCTATCAATAAACTTTTTCTACTTTGTTAGGTTAAAATTTATTTTTCTGTCTTGTGCTTTTAAATGGATCATTTACAAGTGCATAACTCTGTGACATCGTGAACTGGCCACAAAGGTATGTAAATCTTCTTAAAATGGACACTTTTATTATAAAATGTTCTTTAAAAATCACCTTGTTGAAGTCACCTTGATCTCATCAGAGAAGACTTTTTTTTTTTTTTGAGACAGAGTCTCACTCTGTCACCCAACCTGGGGTGCAGTGGCACGATCTCGGCTCACTGTAACCTCGGCCACCCGGGTTCAAGTGATTCTCCTGCCTCAGCCTCCTGAGTAGCTGGGATTACAGGTGCCTGCCACTGCACCCAGCTAAATTTTTTAAATATTTTTAGTAGAGATGGGGTTTCACCATCTTGGATAGGCTGGTCTTGAACTCCTGACCTCATGATCCACCCACCTCGGCCTCCCAAAGTGCTGGGATTACAGGCATCAGCCACCGTGCCCGGCCCTAGAGAAGTCTTTAAATGTTAGGAACTGGTCAAGCTCATGGTAACAGAGGTGTTTTCTAACACTCAAAAGTTTTGCCTGGGAGCTTAAAGTTTATCATTGGCAACAAATACCATGGGTTGCTTCTACTGATGCGTCAGCTGATTTTTCATTTTGAGAAAATGTCTAACAAACACCAAAATCAGCTTGCTACTCAATGGGATGGCTGCTTCTCTTGAGACAAGCATCACACTTCAGTGTAGAGCAGAAAGGCTTTTTCTCTTTTTCCAGACGGAGTTTTGCTCTTGTTGCCCAGACTGGAGTGCAACGGCGTGATCTCAGCTCATTGCAACCTCTGCTTCCCAGGTTCAAGTGATTCTCCTGACTCAGCCTCCCAAGTAGCTGGGATTAAAGGCGCACACCACCACACCCAGCTATTTTTAGTAGAGATGGGGTTTCACTGCGTTGGTCAGGCTGGTCTCGAACTCCTGACCTCAGGTGATCCGCTCGCCTTGGCCTCCCAAAGTGCTGGGATTACAGGCATGAGCCACCACGCCTGGCCCCAGTAGAAAGGCGCTACGTGTACTCCCCATTTCATCATAAAGGATATTACAAAGAGTTGCAATTTACAGACTAATAATTTTTACCACCTCATCAAGGCCATTCCTTTTTTTTTTTTGAGATGGAGTATCACTCTGTCACCCAGGCTGGAGTGCAGTGGTGCGATCTCGGCTCACTGCAAACTCTGCCTCCCAGGTTCACGCCATTCTTCTGCCTCAGCCCCCCGAGTAGCTGGGACTACAGGTGCCCACCACCACGCCCGGCTAATTTTTTGTATTTTTAGTAGAGACGGGGTTTCACCATGTTAGCCAGGATGGTCTCGATCTCCTGACCTCATGATCTGCCTGCCTCGACCTCCCAAAGTGCTAGGATGACAGGCATGAGCCACCGTGCCCAGCCTTTTCTTTTTGAGATGAAGTCTCGCTCTTGTCGCCCAGGCTGGAGTACAATGGCACAATCTCGGCTCACTGCAATCTCCGCCTCCTGGGTTCAAGCAATTCTCCTGCCTCAGCCTCCCAAGTAGCTGGGATTACAGGCACCCACTAGCACGCCCAGCTAATTTTTGTATTTTTAGTAGAGATGGGGTTTCACCATGTTGGCCAGGCTGGTCTCGAACTCCTGACCTCAGGCGATCTGCCCACCTCGGCCTCCCAAAGTACTGAGATTACAGGCGTGAGCCACTGCGCCTCACCATCAAGGCCATTCTTTTTTGTTTTTTGAGATGGAGTCTCACTCTGTTGCCCAGGCTGGAGTGCAGTGGCAGAATCTTGGCTCACTGCAACCTCTGCCTCCTGGGTTCAAGTGATTTTCCTGCCTCAGCCTCCCGAGTAGCTGGGATTACAGGCACCTGCCACCACATCCAGCTGCTTTTTGTGTTTTTAGTAGAGATGGGGTTTCACCATGTTGACCAGGATGGTCTCGAACTCCTGACCGCAGGTGATCCGCCCACTTCAGCCTCCCAAAGTGCTGGGATTACAGGCGTGAGCCACCGCGCCCGGCCATCAAGGCCATTCTTAAGGGAAACTGGGTGTGTGCTGGTGAAGGACACAATGACCAGTAGGCCTTCTAGTGTGCTGGGTGCCGGGCACAGCCACCACTGCCTTTGCAAATGTGGACACAGGCAAAAAAAAAAAAAAAAAAAAAAAAAAAAAAAATTTTTAGTATAAAGAATGTATTACTATGTGAACAATTTTGTTCAAAGGGCTTTGCAGACACCCAGGACCTGTGGACCACATCTGGAGAACCACTGACTTAGACGTCAGAATTGGGTCCTGTTTTGCATGGTTATGACCTGGCTTAAAGGAAGAATGCTTTTCTCAGAAATAAACTTTCAGCAAGCTGTCTCGGCCAGTGTCAGGCCCCGAGGGCCTGGAATTGACCATTCTCTATGATGGCCCTTCCCCAACTGCCTGCTCTGGGGTTTGGCCCTGGCTCCCAGGGAAGCTCCAGCGTCCACTCTGTCTCTGGGAGGGCACTCCCCAGAAGCCCCATGATGTCCTGTCCGCAGTGAGCGTTCCATGCCAGCCTGGGGCGAGGCTCGATTCATCTCCGCCTCTCAGGCCTGCACAGAAGTCTCTCTCCTACTCTGGCATGTGAGTGACTGAAGGAGGTGAGCTGCTGCTTATCTTGGCAGGCCAGGGATAGCACATGGGACAGGGCACGGCACTGGTTCTTAATATATGTGGTGGATGAATGAAGAAAGGGGAGGCCACGGTCCCCAAGGAGGTCATGATTTAGTGCAACAGATATTGTATCTCACCAGCTACGACAGCTGCGACTGCTGCTGCCCAGCAAACGGGGAAAGTGTGGTGGGGCTGCCAAGGAGCGCCTGGCATAGGAAGGACCTGGGGCCATTTGCTCTTTCTCGAGTACTTACTGAGCACCTACTGTATGCCTGCCCTGTGCTGGACACCAGCTGTCCAGTGGCAGCTCTGGCAGACAGAGCTGTGTGTTCACGGAGCCGACATGTTAGTTGGGGGAGACAGGCCAGTCAACAGGTGAACAGGGAATTTCAGGTCATGAGGTGTGTTATGAAAAAAATAAACAGGCTAATGTTTCACAGAGTGCTGGCGTCGGGGCCTCTGTGAGCATGGCCAGGGAGGGTCTCAGGAGGTGACATTTGAGCTGAGGTTTGGGAGATGAGAAGCTGTCGGCTGTATGCAGAGCAGGAAGAAGATGGTTCAGCAGAGTAAAGAGCCAGTGCGAAGGCCCTGCGGTGAGAAAGCACTGAGCACTGCTGAGGACCAGGGAGGCAGGGAGGCTGAGGACCAGGGAGGCAGGGAGGTGGGGAGGCTGAGGGGCAGGGAGGCAGGGAGGCGGGGAGGTGGGGAGGCTGAGGGGCAGGGAGGCAGGGAGGCGGGGAGGCTGAGGACCAGGGAGGCAGGGAGGCTGAGGACCAGGGAGGCAGGGAGGCGGGGAGGCTGAGGACCAGGGAGGCAGGGAGGCTGAGGACCAGGGAGGCAGGGAGGCTGAGGACCAGGGAGGCGGGGAGGCAGGGAGGCAGGGAGGCAGGGAGGCAGCGCGGCAGCGCAGGGGGAGGTGGGGGCCGAGCAGGATGAGGTCAGAGGCAGCAAGGCCTCCAGGAGGGAGTTGGGGAAGCTAGGAAGTTTTAGGAGGAAGAAGAAATGAACAACATCCTGTACAGGTGAGAGTCAACAGAGAATGGCCAGCAACAGTCCACTAGATCTGAAAACATGGAAAGCTGAATTCTAGAACATACCAGGTAAAGATCTCAAGCCACGGATGATCTCTTGCCTCCTGTTTTGTAGTGAAATTCGGTCTTCAGACATCATCAAACCAAACATCACCAGAGAGATGAACTGACTGGTATAAGCCTGTGCACAAAGAAGGAGGTGGCAGGGACCTTATTTTCACTTTTTAAATCAACTTTTATTTTTGAGACAGGGTCTACTCTGTTGCTCACGCCTGAGTGCAGTGGCGAGATCACGGCTCACTGCAGCCTCAACCTCCTCAAGTGATTCTCCCACCTCAGCCTCCCGAGTAACTGGGACTACAGGTGCCACCACCCTGCCCAGTTAATTTTTAGGTTTTATTTATCTATTTATTTATTTCTATTTTGTTTTTGAGACAAAGTCTTGCTGTGTCACCCAGGCTGGAGTGCAGTGGCTCGATCTCGGCTCACTGCAACCTCCACCTACCAGGTTCAAGCGATTCTCCTGCCTCAGCCTCCCGAGTAGCTGGGATTACAGGCACCCGCCACCACACCCGACTAATTTTTGTGTTTTTAGTAGAGACGGGGTTTCACCGTGTTAGCCAGGATGGTCTCAAACCCCTGACCTCAGGTGATCCCCCTGCCTCGGCCTCCCAAAGTGCTGGGATTACAGGCCTGAGTCTCCGCACCTGGCCTAAGTTTTATTTTTGAAGGGACGGGGTTGCCCGGGGCGGTCTGGAACTCCTGGGTTCAAGGGATGCTCCCGCCTCAGCCTCCCACAGTGCTGGGATTCCAGGGGGGAGCCCCGTGCCAGCCCTAAAGGACTTTAAAATAAGCATCTCCAAGGTGCTCAAAGAGCCACAGGACAACATGGACGAAACACAGGAACGTGGCATGGGAATAAAATGAGACTAAATGAAGATATGGGGGCCGGGCACGGGGGCTCACGCCTGTAATCCCAGCACTTTGGGAGGCCGAGGCGGGCGGATCACGAGGTCAGGAGATCGAGACCATCCCGGCTAACACGGTGAAACCCCGTCTCTACTAAAAATACAAAAAATGAGCCGGGTGTGGGGCGGGTGCCTGTAGTCCCAGCTACTCGGGAGGCTGAGGCAGGAGAATGGCGTGAACCCGGGAGGCGGAGCTTGCAGTGAGCCGAGATCGCGCCCCTGCACTCCAGCCTGGGCGACAGAGTGAGACTCCGTCTCAAAAAAAATAAATAAATAAAATAAAAATAAAAATAAAAAAAATGAAGATACGGGAATCCAAGAGGGGAGGGGAAAGGAAAGGAGCGGAGAGAAGGGGTGAGGCGGGAAGGGGAAAGAAAGGCGGTGGCGCGGGCAGAGCAGGCCGGAGGAGGGCGGCCTCTGGTGCACCTGCCTCCGCCAGGCTCTCCCTGGGACGGGCGCCCGTGGCTCCTCCTACCTTGGTGCTGGCCACGCCGATCTCCGGCCCTGCGTTGATGTGGACGCCGCAGTCGGTCTCGCGAGAGATGGAGCTGCCCACGGTGTTGGTGACGCCCACGGTGAGAGCGCCGCGGTCCTTACAGTAGCGCAGCGCCAGGAGGGTGTCCGCGGTCTCGCCTGCCGCCCAGGGGCCCTCTCAGTGCCGCGCTCCGCCAGCCTCGGCCCCACCCCAAACCCCTTCCTCCTTCACCGCCGGCTCTTACAGGGAAATCGGCGCCCGAGACACAGCCAGCGGGTGTTCAGAAAGGAAAACGCTCGCTCAACAGCCTTTTCGGTTGATTCTTACATTCAAGGTGTGTTACTATTTGTGGCAAGCATCTTTTCATTTAAATCTCGTGACAACCCCGTGAGGACCATCGTCCCCATTTTCCTCTTGAGGATGAGGGCTCAGAGACAGGAGGAAACCGGTGCTCTGATCAAAGCCATACAGCTGGTGACAGGTGGGCTTGGCTCCCAGCGCCCTCTCTGCAACTGAATAAGCTGCCTTATTCAGAACGTGCTGAGATGGAACAGATTTAACATCTGACAAGCAGGAATGTCCCCAAGTGGTGTTTCTCAGCTAGATCCTGTTTGAAAGGACACTTCTTGCAAGCCTCTCAGTGTGGACTCAAATTGTTTTTAGAATAAAGCTAAACAGCTTCATGCATAAACCAGCACAAGCTCCCTATGTTTGTGAGTCCTAAAGCACTCAAATTAAATTCAGCATAAGCCAGACTATAAAATCAAAACTGTTGAAATCCTCATGAGTCGGGAGGCTGTTCTGTTTGCAGGGCCACTGCTCTTGGCTGTGTCTGTCCCAGCTTTGCAGGGCAGGCAGGTGCCGCCCGGTGCTAGGTGGCCCAATTCTCCTCTGCTTTTCTTTCTTCAGAGCCCTGGGTTATGGCACTGGAGTGTCACGGGGTACTGCGGTGAGGGTGCGGGAAAGGGGGTTCTAACTTCTGTCACCCGCGCCCTAGGGTTCGATAGTGTTTTTTCAATCTCATTAAAGGGCTGACTTCTATACACACAGAGATTCGGAAGCTGCCACTGCATTATTTTCATATTAGCTCCACCTCTGTTCTTTTGTTAATGTCTCCCACCAATTTATAAAATAGTCTGAGGCTCTGGTGGGATCAGAAACCCAAAGGTGAACACGGCAGCAGCTCCTGCGTCATAAGGTGGTGGGCCGGATGGTCGGTGTATCTGTACTGGTTTTTCTTCACTTGTCAACAAAATGGAAATGGTATTTAAAATGGAAAATGGCAGGAGTACTAAAAGTCCTAATAGATGATAGGGCATTACAATCAGTATTTTAGTTGTGGTAGTAACACCGTGGTCATACGTTTTTCTTTTTCTTTTTTTTTTTTTTGAGACGGAGTCTCGCTCTGTCGCCCAGGCTGGAGTGCAGTGGCGCGATCTCAGCTCACTGCAAGCTCCGCCTCCCGGGTTCACGCCATTCTCCTGCCTCAGCCTCCTGAGTAGCCGGGACTACAGGCGCCCGCCACCACGCCCGGCTAATTGTTTTATATTTTTAGTAGAGACGGGGTTTCACTGTGTGAGCCAGGATGGCCTCAATCTCCTGACCTCGTGATCCGCCCACCTCAGCCTCCCAAAGTGCTGGGATTACAGGCGTGAGCCACCGCGCCCGGCCGGTTATATGTTTTTCTTTTGTCATTTTAATCATGCAGCCTGAAGTATTTATATGGATGAATATCATGATGCCCGGGATTGGCTTCAAAGTAACCCCATGGAGACGAGGGGTTAATATGAGTGTGTCCGACCGGCACAAGATGGGCTGGATAAGGCTAGGATATTCATTATATGAAAATTCTACTTTTATAAAGGCTTGGAATTATCCGTAATTAAAACATTTCAAAAATCTTCCACGAGCTCAAGGAGACTCCAAGCCTATGGCCCTGGATCACCTCCCTGAGACAGCTGGAGCAAATGTCAAGCCCAGTGTTGGGATGGCACCAGATGGGGTGCATGTAGCTTGGGAGACCTTCCTTGGCCCTAAAAGGGAGCACTGTCTCCCCCACACCTCCCCCTGCTGGGCAGCATGGGCACTGCATGCCACAGGCAGCTCGGCTTGGACACTTGGGCACAGAGCCCATACTGGGTCCTCCACGTGACTCTCAACCTAACAAAATGTTAAAGGAGATGCTTTTTCTATTAACATAAATCAGCAAACATTTATGAGCACTTCGGTAAGTGGTCCTTGAAGTCTTGGATAGGCAAGAAGAGGGAGAAGCCACGGGGCAGGGGAAAGACTAACGTGCGTGGATTTCCAGCCCAATCCCAGCTGTCACCCCCTGACTGCATGGCCTTAGACATCTCTTGCCCTCCCCGTACAATGGCGACAGTAATCCATGGCTCTACGGGTTAAATGACCGCTGCAAGAGAGGGTTCGCAGCACAGGGTAGCCATGCAGAGGACTTAACTGAATGAAGGAGAAGAGGAGAGAGCCCAGAGCTGACCTGATGCAAGGCTGGCCACAATGCCTGTGTCCCTTACCTGACTGGCTGATGAAAAAGCAAACGTCATCCCTGAACACAGGTGTGTTCCTGTCCAGAAAATCACTAGCAAGTTCAACCATCACAGGAAGCTCAGTCAGTTCCTCCAAAACTTGCCGCGTCTGAAGCCAACAAGCAAGCATGGAGACTAAAGTCAGTCACAGGCACGACAGGGACATGGGGCAGCTGGGCTTCTAGGGACAGTTTGTGACACGGAACCTCACTGTCCAGGTGGCGAGGGGACTTCGGTCACCCACAGGCCACCTCGAAGATAAAAGGGCTCCGTGTCATTTCTCACGCTAGCTCATGGGAATGGGTACAAGGGCTTAGCCAAATTCAGAAGGCCACATGAGTGATAAAACTGAAGGCCAGTGTCTGGTCCTAGACTGCCGTCGACTTCCCCACGCACATGTGTCACACTTACAGCCACGGCAGCGTGGTAGCTGGTTCCACAGCCAATCACGATGAGCCGTCGGCATCGTCGAATCTCCTTCAAGTGGTCCTTCAAGCCACCCAGGAGCACTGCAGGGCACACGACAAGGCGTTAATGCTGAGTCTACACAGTCACCGCATTCCCTGAGACTAGGCTCGGGCGGAGGCTCCCCACCGAGTGTAGGAATTACCTGTGTTGGTTTCAAAATTCACCCGACCTCTCATAGTATTGAAAACTGATTCTGGCTGTTCGAAGATCTCCTTCTGCATAAACGCACTGAAGTTACCTGGTCAAATAAACGTCTGGTCAGTTTTAATTTCATTATATTTCACTGCTTTTCATTATGCAGCAGCGATAGTAACTCCTGTAAAGCTTACTGCAGATTCCCAAAGGCATCCCCAGGGATTACCCTGCCTGACACTCACTACCATCAGAGGGAAGCAGGTCAGGAACCAGGACTATCTCCAATTTACATATTGGACCCTGCAGCTTGAGAAAGGGAGGGATTTGCCCAAGGCATGCAAGTAACAAATGGCCTGGCTGATCCCTCTGGGCCATGCTCCCTTAGCAAGGCCAAAAGAAAGTAAAGTGCTTCACTCCCAAAAAGCCATCCAGCTAGGAAAGTACAGCTAAGCAGGCCCAAAGAAACAGGCAATTTTCCTTCTAATAAATACCCTCCTGGTTTCCGTAATAAAAACCTTTCCAGGCCGGGCGCAGTGGCTCACGCCTGTAATCCCAGCACTTTGGGAGGCCGAGGCGGGCGGATCACGAAGTCAGGAGATCGAGACCATCCCGGCTAAAACAGTGAAACCCCGTCTCTACTAAAAATACAAAAAATTAGCCGGGCGTAGTGGCGGGCGCCTGTAGTCCCAGCTACTTGGGAGGCTGAGGCAGGAGAATGGCGTGAACCCGGGAGGCGGAGCTTGCAGTGAGCCGAGATCGCGCCACAGCACTCCAGCCTGGGCGACAGAGCAAGACTCCGTCTCAAAAAAAAAAAAAAAAAAACCTTTCCAGCCACACAGGCATTTCCAGGGCTCTGATTTGAGTGGGATTGGATGGTGCTGATGGGACAATGGGGCTGCAGGGTGTTCAAGCCCCTGCACCTGATGCTCTGGAGGTACCCACAGGCAGGGCAGGCCGTGTTCTCTAGGATACGCACACTCATGACACCAACATCGCCCATGCTCCCGGCCTGTCTCCCATGACCTGGCACTTGTGCGACGAGCAAATGAAGCAAGTGAGGGGAATGAGGGGTGGCCACCATAGGGGAGGGGCTGGGGAGGGACCATGGCAGACACAGGAGCAGAGAAGGAGTCTCTGAGGGGGTGACATTTCAAGGGAGCTGGAGGCAATGAAAAGGAACCAGTCCTATGAGAAGAACAGCGAATGCAGGGGCTGTGGCGGGGCACAGTGGGACAGAGGGTTGAGTGTGGTGGGGCCAGGCTTTGGCCCCACTGGGGTGTGGGGTTTGTGGGCTGTGGCAGGGAGTTTGGATTTTATTCTAAGAACAGTAGGAAACCATTGGAGGGCCTTGAGCAGCGGGATGATCACAGGGGCTGATTCATGTTCTTAGACGTTTGCTCAGGCTGCCCTGTGGGGTAGAGGTTGTAAGGGGACAGAAATGGGTGCAGACAGAGAGGCTCTCCTTGTAGGGAGAAAGTGTACCCCCACCCCCCATTTACTGCAGACCTGCAGACTTCCACCCAGAGGAGAAATGATGCCTGAGGGTGGGCATGTGTCCCGCGGAGTCGGTGAAGGAAGGCAGCTGACACACTGGGCTCAGTTCCAGTAGGAAAGACCTGGCGGCTGGCTGCACACAGGAGCCCCCGCTTGGAGGTGCCAGGCCAGCCTCCCCACATCCCCTCACCTGTGCAAGCCACAGGCTACCTGCAGCCCCGCCCTGGTGGCCACAGAGGGCAGGAGGGCTGTGGCCTCTACTAGGACCAGGCAGAGTGTCAGGAGCTCCACCAGGCGCGCTGGCTCCCGAGGCTGCCGCACGTGGACTCTGGAGGACACCTGCCTTTCATGATTTGCTGCAGTTCCATCTGCAAGGTCTGGATGGCTCGAGATGGGTCATCACTGGCCGAGCGCTTGACCCGGTGAATGGAGAGTTTCCCATCAGCCACTGCGGCGATGTCATCGTCCTCCAGGAAGATGACCCGGTTGGTGTGCTCTATGATAGCGCTGGGGCAAGGGAAACAGGCATCATCAGTGCCCTGCCCTGAGCAGTTACGAGGCAGCAGCCCCTTGCTGGTTCCCAAGCGTGGAGGCCACATCGTTGGCATTTTAGGAGGGACAGAGAGACCACACTAAAAACATTGATTTGCAGGTGAATCTTCCTTTTCTTCTCCACTCTTCCCTCCTGTCCCCACGGAATTATTTTGAAGCCAGTCCCAGACATTATATCATTTCTTCTGTAAACACTTTACCATAGAGCTCTAAAACTATTTTAACCTACTATAATACCATAATCATATCTAAAATGAATAGTTGTTCCTTTATATCATCAAATATTCAGCATGTTTACATATCTCCAATAATCTCACGGCTGTCTTTTTATAACCGGTTTCTTCAAATCAGGATCCAAACAATGTCACCTCTGGAAGATACTCGAGAACCAACACATTATTCTGAATCGTGAAGGGAAAGAATAAAGCATTTATCTCGCCTTTCTAAACAATCTGTCTTTCAGAACAACCACATACTTTATGAAGGCAAGTTTCTCTAAGAAGTGATACAGCTAGTAATGAAGAAATAATAGAAGAATCAATTTATGAACTCCTAATTATTAATAGCTCTAATCAAGGACCATTCATGGCTGTTGAAACCAGAAGGTAAAAAGCTGGACGAAGCTTTATCATGGATGGATAAGGCTGGCAACACTCAAACCCCTGATGGCTCTTAGCACAAAAAGAGAGATGGTGAGACATCACCCGCCTCCTGATGGAAGGACACACCACCAACTATGTAGTCTTGCCAAAAAAAATCAAACCTGAATAAGATCGAGCTTTTAACACTTGTAAACTCCAGCGTACAGGAAACACAGGGGACAGAGGAAGATGGTAAATGACACCAGGGGTTGCACTCAGCAAAACCCAGACAATGGGAAACTCATCAGGACAAAAGACCTAGTTTCTTACACACACACACACATACACAAAGGAGCCCTAAAAGTAGTCTACAAGCTATGCTTACCAAAGAAACATAGGGTCATTGTGTTTATTTATTTATTTATTTTGAGACAGAGTCTCGCTCTGTCGCCCAGGCTGGAGTGCAGTGGCGCGATCTCCACTCACTGCAAGCTCTGCCTCCCGGGTTCACGCCATTCTCCTGCCTCAGCCTCCCGAGTAGCTGGGACTACAGGTGCCCGACACCATGCCCGGCTACTTTTTTGTATTTTTAGGAGAGACGGGGTTTCACCGTGTTAGCCAGGATGGTCTCGATCTCCTGACCTCGTGATCCGCCCGCCTCGGCCTCCCAAAGTGCTGGGATTACAGGTGTGAGCCACCGTGCCCAGCCCATTGTGTTTATTTTTATAACTTTCTCTGTATGGAAAAGAATAATGATTTTTTTCCCTTGAGATCATAATACAAAGTATCTTTTAAAATCATTTTAAGTTTGAAAAGTTGCTAAATGAAAAAGAAAGGTGATTAATGGTATATAGTTGTGGTATAAACCATCAGGTTGGGCTTGAAGGACTACTGGAGAAAACACTCTCGGCCGGGAGCCCTGGCTCACACCTGTAATCCTAGCACTTTGGGAGACCAAGGCGGGAAGATCACCTGAGGTCAGGAGTTTGAGACCAGCCTGGCCAACATGGCAAAACCCCGTCTCTACTAAAAATACAAAAATTAGCCAGGTGTGGTGGCGGGCACCTGTAATCCCAGCTACTTGGGAGGCAGGAGAATCACTTGAACCCAGGAGGCGGAGGCTGCAGTGGGCTGAGATTGTGCCACTGCACTCTAACCTGGGTGACAGAGCAAGACTCCGTCTCAAAAAAAACACTCTCATTCTATCAAGAGCCACACCCACACGTGACTGCCTGAAAATGAACACTTAAACTCCTGGTGCAAAGGTAAAGAGAGAAACCATCAAGGTCTAAGGCTCTAAAAGACGTATATCCAGCCAGATCCTAGGGAAGAAAGAGAAAGAAAGATGGCAAGCCACTGTACTGGAAAAAATATTTTAAACAAAACTTTGTATAAAAGTATACAAATAACTTCGTATGCTTTGTATAAAAGTGTACAAATAACTTCGTATGCTTTGTATAAAAGTGTACAAATAACTTCGTATGCTTTGTATAAAAGTGTACAAATAACTTCGTATGCTTTGTATAAAAGTGTACAAATAACTTTGTATGCTTTGTATAAAAGTATACAGAGCTTTATACAAAATTTTGTATAGAAATATATTTTTTTGTATAAAAAGTAGAAACATGGAGTGACAAGAAGTAAAAACGGCCCTATCCTGTCTCCGAGAGATCAACACTGCTTCCATTGTAGCATTAACCAACCAACAATGCATGACGCATGTGTGTTTATATTTATGTGTGCATGTACATGTTTGTTTAAATATAATTATTTTATTTCCAAAATGGGTAGTCATGTAATCTAGTCATTAAAACCAATGGCCCACCAGTTAGGCTTGAGGTGGACTCGGGGCCTCTGTCACTTGCCAGACCTGTGCCCGTGGGCAACATACATAACCCCCTGGAGTTCCTGTCTCAGGTTCCGCCTCTGTAAACAGAAAAGAGCTGTGCCTTCCCCAGAGGTCTGTCATGATTATCGCATGGGATCCTGGTGAGGCTCTCATACCGTGCCCCGCACACACTGGCCACCGTTGCCCAAAAGCTGGACAGTGTGCTCACATCTGGGAGGGCCACCTGCCATTCCTTTCTCAGCATGTGTTGTCTTTCTTATCTCTACACTACACGCGACAGAATCACTTCCTGAAGTTCCAAAGGCATAAACAAATAAAATAATATGGAGGGTTTTGTTTTGTTTTGTTTTGTTTTGTTTTGTTTTGTTTTGAGACGGAGTCTCGCTCTGTTGCCCAGGCTGGAGTGCAGTGGCGCGATCTCGGCTCACTGCAAGCTCCGCCTCCCGGGTTCACGCCATTCTCCTGCCTCAGCCTCCCGAGTAGCTGGGACTACAGGCCTCCGCCACCACGCCCGGCTGATTTTTTTTTTGTATTTTTAGTAGAAACCGGGTTTCACCGTGTTGGCCAGGATGGTCTCGATCTCCTGATCTCATGATCTGTCCGCCTCGGCCTCCCAAAGTGCTGGGATGACAGGCGTGAGCCACCACGCCCGGCCTGGACAGTCTTAATTACAGCACAGAATTCACAGAATAATTTGGGTAGAGTCAATATTTTTTAAAAATAACTTGTAATCATTAAATTAGTTTTAAATGTTGAGTGCATTAATTTTTGAAAATAGCTACTCTGGAAGCTGAGGCAGGAGGATCCCTTGAGTCCAGGAGTTAGTTCGAGGACAGCCTGGGCAACTTAATGAGACCCTGTCTCAAAAAAAAAAAAAGAAAAGAATAGTAAGCCTTCCTACTGAGGAATGTGGAATCTCTTCCTATATTCAAATCTCTTACTTCCTCATGGTAAATTTCTGTAGACTTCTCCAAATATGTTCTAGAGTATTTTTGTTAAAATTTACTCTAAAGCATTTTTTTTTCCAGCTGTGGTGAATAGTATTGCTTTTTTGGTTCACCTAACGTTTGCTGACTGCATCGTGCCTGGTCACGTGAGGTGACACCTGAGAATAAGGTGGACAAGGTCCCACTTGAACCAGATACAGCTTAGTGGCTAAGGCCAGGATATAGGATTTCCACACCTTTACTCCCAGCTGCTAGTACTATCAGTTCTAACAGCCTTTTGGCTGGATTTAAAAATGTGTAATAGTATTGCCTACAAATAATTATTTCCTCTCCTTTCAGGCATTCATGCCTTTTTTTTAAAAAAAAAGAAACATCTGGATGGGCGCGGTGGCTCACACCTGTAATCCCAGCACTTTGGGAGGCTGAGGAGGGCGGATCATGAGGTCAGGAGATGGAGACAATCCTGGCTAACACAGTGAAACCCCATCTCTACTAAAAATACAAAAAATTAGCCGGGCGTGGTGGCGGGCACCTGTAGTCCCAGCTACTCAGAGGCTGAGGCAGGAGAATCACTTGAACCCAGGAGGCGGAGCTTGCAGTGAGCCGAGATCACACCACTGCACTCCAGTCTGGGCGACAGAGTGAGACAAAATAAATAAATAAATAAAAATAAAAAAAGAAACATCTATCATATTTCATTGAATATAAGTTACTATTGATCGTTAAGATCACAATTATTTGACAAACTTCTAAGAAATAAAAGCTTCAACAAATTCTAATGGTACTATGCCAAAATCTACAATTCTCCGTGTTTTAGAATCACTGAAATAATACCAGCGTCTCGTTGGTATTCTCGGCGTGTTCTAAGGGGCACCATTTGGGAAGCGCTGCCTTGACCTCAGCGTTAAGTATGATGCTGGCTGTGCGTTTAATCAGGCCTCGCCTCCCTGTCGCTCCCGTTTCCCAGGAGACCCGGCCTGGTGTCCTCCCTGCCTCACAGCACGGCCCTATTAGAGGCTGGTCGGGAAAGAGAAAACCCATCAAGAATGGAAACATAACAAAGGCCCAAGCCTTTGGGTCTTTGAAGAAGGTACCAGAGGTGATTACAGCAGTTTTCTACTTCAAATGGCAGGAAAGTGCTCTGGTTCTCTCTCTCCCTCTCTCTCTCTCTGTGTGTGTGTGAGTGTGTGTATAACTTTTTTTTTTTCTGAAATGAGTATAAAGCAGAATTTCTCAAATTTCAAAATCATTATTCAGTGGATTGATGAGAGCATGGACTTTAGAATCAATTGAAAAACTCCCTGTGTCTTGGCTCTGTCTTTCACAAATGGTCTCACCCCAGGCAAAGGCAGGGAGGGGCATGGGAGGGACTGAGGTCTAGACACAGTTGTCTCATCTAAAGGGGGCAGCCTTTGAGCAGATCCAGACACCTGCCACCTGAGAGAGGGCTGCACAGCATGCCCCGATCTGCTAGTTCTTCCAGAGAAGCTAGAGATTTCAGATTTCTCTGTGAAATCTCCAAATTTTACAACATTGGCAACTAACCCATTCATTTTGTGCAGGCTCGAAGCACTGTGCCCACCAGTGCATCTGGCCTTTGGCCACCAGGGCTGCCTACCACAGTCATGCAGGTGCTCCTAGGACAAGGACTCCAGGCCCAGGCCCAGGGATGGCTGAACTCTTCTTTGGCCCTGCGACTTGCTGAGCCACGATAGCTCACATGGAAGGATGAATAAGAACCGGCAGTGTTTAGACAGGCATTCTTTGATTATGTAATCCCAGGAAGCGAAGAGAAGAAGGCTCAGTTACCTTGCATCAGAAGCAAAGAAGAATTCCACGGCCTTGTCGCCCACAGCATGCAGGCAGGCGGAGCTGTCCAGCCTCTTCATCCGTGTCTTACAGATATTCTTCACATTCTCCAGAGTGCCTAGCAAATGGAGGAATGGGTTGCAAATCCCACTGGGATGTTTTGTTTGCATAATATGCAGCAAGGAACCAATTTCCCCTCTGAATATGTGTGGGAGAAATTTGCAATTTTTAGCTTTGGCTGTGTCAGCCAAATCGTGTAAAAGATCCCCCAATAGCACAGTACCACTGCAAAAGCATTTAAATGGCTACAGTGTGAGAGGAATGCAAACAAAAACAAACCAAAGAAGCACTCACATCAAAGCCCAGTTGCCGTTATACAATGGCACTTTTGTGTATGTTTGACAATATACAAAATCATGATAAATTCATGTCCATGATAAAAAGCTTAAAAAAAATGGAGCCAAGTCTCAGTTGCACAAAAACCTTTTAGACCTGGAGCTGTGCGCCTGTTGGGTCTGGCTCAGAGTGGGGTTTCCTTGCCTCAGAGGGGAGCTGACTGTGCCAGAGCAGCTGCCGAGTCCTGCGACACCAGCAGCTGTGCTGTTCCGGTACTTCTTGAGAAACTTACACGTCCTGTATAAGATAGGGATCTGTTCTGTGGAGAGCTTGTATTTGCTCCGGACTCCGATGAGCAGGGGGCTGCCTCTCCTGTAGGGAGAAAGAGGCATCCCATTACCCATTGCCTTTGACGCCCAGTGCTGGGTGTCTGCCCAGCATCTGAGGTAGGATCCCCAAATCTAGCCCTTTCCCAGTGGTGGAGGATCCTGTTTAGGTCCCACAGGACGGACGCCTGGAGCACAGGATGGAAAGGCCAGCTCCTGAGTCCCAGGTCCCTGACTTGGCATCACCCACCTGCCCAGAAAGCTTGGTAACCTGTCTCACTCCCACCCTCCTAGGCCGGGCCTCCTCCAGTCCAGTCAAGTCCCCACATGTGACCAACCCACAAGGTTAGATGGCGGAGGCTGAGCGTTTGGCAGCAGAGGAGGCGCTGGTGGGGCACAGGGGCACTCTAGGTCTCCACCCAGCCTCGACGGCAGCGCATCCCTATAACAATAGGGCTCTGCACCCACCATCTGCCCAAAGACCCCCTGTTGTTCCTTCCCTTCCCCTAGCCCAGTTCTCTAGCATTAGTGGGCACTAGTCTGACTGACTTTTGTATATTCTCTACTTTGTAGGTGACATAAGGTGATTTCTTGGGTGGTTTTTTGTCTCTGCCAAAGTGACACCCCGTGGATGGAAGTTTAGAATCTTCACCCCGCACCAGGTAGACTTCATCATAAAGAGGACAATAACTGTCACAGGCAAAATCTCAGGGAGTCTGCAGCTGGCCAAGGTGAGGGGCCCTCACTCAGGCCTCCTGTCCCAGCGTCACTGTCTCAGCCACTGCAGCCCGGCTCTCTGAGCACCTCAGCAGGGGATCTTTAGGAAAGAGCTTTAGGATATTTCCTCTGATTCACAACTTCTAGTGGTGGACGTGATGAAGATCTCATGATTTGGCTGGGCGCACAGTGGCTCACGCCTGTAATCCCAGCACTTTGCGGGGCTGAAGCGCGCAGATCACGAGATCAGGAGTTTGACACCAGCCTGGCCAACATGGCGGAACCCTGTCTCTACTAAAAATACAAAAATTAGCTGGGCATGGTGGGGGGTGCCTGTAATCCCAGCTACTCTGGAGGCTGAGACAAGAGAATCACTTGAACCCGGGAGGCGGAGGTTGCAATGAGCCGAGATCGTGCCACTGCACTCCAGCTTGGGCGACAAAGCGAGACTCCATCTCTAAATAAATAAATAAATAAATAAATAAAAGGATCTCATGATTTAAATGATATCCTGATTCCAAAATCTAATCCTTTGCTCATTCTTATAAATTATAGCATGCAAATAAAATCTACCATAGGTGTGCACAGAAATAAGAGGCTCACTCTGGTAACACATGCGCTCTAAACCTGCGGTTCTTCAAAACCAGGCAGGTAAAAGTGCAGTAGTTACGAAAGGATGTGTGCCTTTCCCCTCTACACATTAATTTATTAATAAGAAGAAAACACCGACGAACACTGTAATAAGACAATTTAAGAGAGCTGTTTCAAACACATGAATTGGAATACAATCCAGTAACATTTTACCTTAGGTGATTTCTTGCTAACTTAGATCAATGAACTAATGAAGTGCTTGCTCATCGGCTTGAATCCAGTCCACATATATCCATAATCTGTTAGCCTGACTCAATGCAGTTCCTAAATTTTTCTTCAACAATAACAGACCTTGTTTTCCAGTCACGTTGGCCTGTTTGGACCCCACTTATGGCTTCTCAAAGCGGGGGACAAAGTCTGGGGCTTTGAGGAAGGTGCTATGAACACCTTGAATATTTTAATCATTTATTGTGTAAAGCAAATCTGAGACATAGTTCTGGGGCCAGTGGGGAACTAGCATAAATAGTTTATAATAATGGCAGTGAGAAAGTAGGTGGATATCTAATTTTCTTGGCAAATGACTCCCCCAAATTTTATTGCTGTAGGTTGAGCTCTGTGGTTTCTCTAGACCTTGAGACATATAATTCTCCCAAGACAACCCGAAGATTGTACTGCAGGTTATAGAGCCCTCAGTTATAGGCAATTTAGAAAAATAAAGCTTTATTGCTTCTTCACGCTGCCTTCTTCTGAGTTCATTTAAAATAGTAAATCATGATAAAATTGGATTTTAAAAAGGGCTTCTAAATTTGATAGGAACCAACTGGTATTTTATAATTCTATGAATTGAAGGAATTAAATTCCAAATGGCAAATTAGTTCCAGTTTTAGAAAAGGTTAAAAAAAATGATGATAAATTCCTGTTGTTTCCTGCTGAGATACTACGCCAGTCTGGAAGAGACAGCCTCACCCTCTCCGGCCGTCTCCCAGGCCACAGGTTCATTCCAGATGGCTCCCCTGGGGCTTCAGATGAAGCCCGCAGCCCACAGGGCACTGAGGCCATTTAGAGCCGGCCTCTGTCCGCCTCTCCACTCCCCACAGCCTTTGAGGCCCTGGAGCAGTGTCCATACCACCTTGCTCACCACTGTCTCCCATGCCTGGCACACAGCAGGTGTCAGTAAACACACACTGGGCCTAGAACGCCTCCGTCCCACCAATGCCCTTGCACCATGCCCCCACCTTGCCAACGGGGATCCTGGGAGGTCCCACTCCCTCTGGGCCCCTTGCCTTTGCTCATGCTGGTTCCTCTTCCCACTGCCTGCCTGGGGCTACCTGCCATTGCCCCCCTGCCAGGTAAGGTGATATCCTGTGCTGGGGCCGGGCACAGGGCATCACTATCCTCTGCCCTTCTCTGCCCTCCTGTACAACTGTTCAGCCCTTCAAGGCAGGGACCAGGTCAGATGTCACTAAGTCCCCAGGGCCCAGCACACAGTAAGTGCACAGTAAATATTAGTTGCATGGTTGGATGGATGATCAACCTATGTGAATATAAACAGGATGGCACTTAACCTGCTTCTGTAAATCCATGCAGCACTGGGGGCCCACCGTAACAGAGGGACACATTGGGGCAAGCAGGCTCTCTGAGCCGATTCCTGGCATGCTCCTTTGTGAAGGTGAAGCTTGAGCCCCGGGCCTTCAAGGCCTCTGCTGTACTGGATCCAAATCAATATTCACTTTGCTCCCTAGTTTCATGTTCATAATTTTGCTTTTTCTTAAAGGGGGGCCCACATTGTACAGGCTTCAAGCCCCACAAAACCTGGATCTGCCCTGTCTGTACGATTTTATTTATAACTGGAATTTGTTGCCCACCTCTAAAAATCTGTGGAGATTTCAAACACAAATCCAACTTTCTGGTTTCTTTTTTTTTTTTTTTAATTCAGAAGTGTAGCACCACCAGCCATGGAGATGGTGGGGCGCGGTCCCCGGGGCTGAGCCACAGTTGTTCTTTAGACACCACGAGCACCTTTCAGCGTGCCACAGGCCCTACCTCTCCCGTCTCCCTCCAGCTAAGTGATTTTATTTTCGTTCTTTCTTATGGGAAATGCCAGTGTGTTTTGCCTCACCGTGTGGCAACGGCTTCTCCTGGGTAGTGGACACTCTTGAAAACCAGCGCGAATGCACCTTCCTGAAAACACACAAACAGTGAGGGTCAACGCGTTCCAGCAGCCGCTGCTGCAGCCTGGCCACAGCCCAGGTGCGTCTCCCTGGGCCCCTCCTGATGGCGGGAGGTCCTGGGGTCCCTCGGGGAGCTGAGTGCAGAACAGCGCATCCGGGGTGACATCACGAGGGAAAGCAAAACAGACGGTGCCACGGGAAGTACCACAAACCAGAACATGTGAATTCCACGGTGAGCGATGTGCGGCTTGCCCAGGCCCACAGGGAGCCCGGCAGGGGTGCCAGCTGGGTAGACGGGGCAGTGAGAGTCACAGGAAATGATAGCTGGGACCAGGCTTCCCTGCCCTGCTCAGGGACAGCACCTACTCAGCAAGCCCCTGTGAAGTGCACTTTAGCTCAACACACGGTAGGGCCTGGGTTCAAATCCTGGCTCCACCCCTGCACTGGGCTCTCCCTTTAGCCTTCTTGGCGCCTCGTTCTCCTCATCGGTGAAGGAAGTGAGAACAGCGCCACCTGGCGGGGCTTCCGTGACGATGATAAGCTAATGCACTGAGCCTGGCATCCGGAGACCCAAGAGAAGCACAGGTTGTCATGACCGTTACTGCTATTATCCTTTCCATGGATACGACTGCCACCTGCCCTCTGGGCCTCAGCTGGTTGGTTTGTGCAAAGCCAGAACTAGAATCCAGCTCTCCTAACACAAGAGGCCAGATGGTTTTTTGACTTAAATTCTTGGTGTAAATTCTTCCCCCACGTCCTGACCATCCTGTACTAACTTACCGCAACCCTAGCAGAGCTCAGTTATATATAACCAGCTGCAAATCTGAATTTCCACAAGAAATCCTCCAAGTGTGGAAGCCACGGGCAGCCCCAGGCCCCGGGTGGTCAGCGTGTCGGGTCCAGGTTGCCAACTCAGCTACAGGGCCAGGAACCTGAGTCACCGTCCCCAGGCCTCATTGGGGCTTTCAAACTGCCCCAAACCAGGGGGCTTCAGGCAGACCCTGGTGCTTTTGTCAACAATAAAATAGGACTGAATGGAAAAACACTGCACGTTCTCTGCCAAAAAGAGCCCGGTACTGTCCCAGGTAGGAAAAGTCTTAAGTTTAAAAGTGTCATTATGAGAGAGGTATTTCTGAAATTTCAAAATAAAAATGGAAAAGAAGAAACAGCATGCTGTAATACCTAATTGGCTCACTGTACCTTATCCAGCACATTAAATGTGGGATAGGCTGTTTTTTATAAACACGTCCTCTAAATGATGGACCTCCAAAAACGGGAGTTAGAGGACAAAAAGGCTTCAACAGTAGACTTACTTTTTAAATCAGACTCTGAAAACACCTGCTCAAGAATGATGTATTTTACACTACAGGATGGTGCCTGCCAGATGTTCTGGACTCTGGGCCAGTGTCCAGGCTGCCACAGCCCTGGGGGAGCTACTGGGTGGCACTGCTGTCTGACAGGATGGGCTCTGAGAGGCCCGGACCCCTCTCGTCCTCCCGCACCCTGCATGGGCCTGTGTCTGCTCCACCTCCTCCTCAGTGTAGGGGCCTCCCCTTGGACAATACGCCCAGTGTGTGCTCCCTTCTCAGGGACTTCTTCTCCCTGGGCCCTGTCCTCTGGGATGTCCCCAATCTCTCTCCCTCTCTCCCTCTTTTGGGCCATTCCGTTCCACATACAGACATGCTGTGATATCACCTATCACAAAAACAGGCCAGGCACAGTGGCTCACGCCTGTAAATCCCAGCATTTTGGGAGGCCAAGGCAGGTGGATCACTTAAAGTCAGGAGTTCGAGACCAGCCTGGTCAACATAGTGAAACCCTGTCTCTACTAAAAGTACAAAAATTAGCCAGGTGTGGTGGTGCGTGCCTGTAGTCTCAGCTAACTCAGGAGGCTGAGGCAGGAGGACTGCCTGAACCTGGGAGGTGGAGGTTGCAGTGAGCCAAGATCACACCACTGCACTCCAGCCTGTGCAACAGAGTGAGACTCTGTCTCAAAAAAGAAAAACCTAGAAACACATCCTCGCTTGGTACCACAACTCTCTCTGCACACCACCACCAAGCTCACGTGTGCATCATAAAAAGCCACGGACTCTAATGCCAGTCACAATTTCAGAAGTGTCACGATGAAGCAGGGCACTTTCTATTTGATGTTGACTACCCAAACCACAGAACGTCTTCCAGTTCTACAAGAGTGTAACATCTTAAGGCCAGGCTCTGCAGATGGGCTGTCTTTTATCCCCAGGACTCTGTGCAAGTTTGTCTAACAAGGGCTTATAAAAAATGAAGGATTCCTTGGCACTTGCTGCTTGAAAAAAATGTTTTTAATGAAAGAATGAAGGAATGAGTTAGACAGATGGGATTTGTAACTCACCAACTGCTGAATGACTCTCTCGACCAACGTTGAAAACGTAATGTCCTCAGTTTCTCTGTTGTCGAACACATATTTAATCAGCTTGGCGATGGTCTCTGTATCTGTTTCTGACTCAAACTCGTAGCCTTTGCTTTCCTGGAATATGCAGTCGGCACAGTGTGAGAGATTGGTCATTGCACAATGCCTGCCTGGCCAACTCCCTCTCCTCCCTGGTGATCTGCCCTTGGAGTGACTTAAGTCAAGAACAGGGAAAACCGGGAAGGGGGGAAAAATGTTTGCCAGCATCACAGCCAAATACCTCTGAGTCACTCCCGGAGGCCCTGAGATCATCCCACCTCAGAAGCTCACCCTTGCCACTAATCTGGACATTGCAAAATAACAGCAGTCAAAATGATAAAATACGTTGAGTCAAACCCACCCACATCCCAACTAACACCACAGAGCCTTTCAAACTTCAGACAGTCACTGTCTGACTTTCCGTCCCAACTCCGCCGGTATACGAGTCGCTGTGTTATATAATGCAGACAGTTTAATAAAACGAAGCTCCTGTTATTTTGATTCTGGGAATCTGCAGTGGCCCTTGAGATAAACACTAATGCCCTGTTATCTCCTCAAACGAGATCTGCAGGGCCTGGCTCAGCCAAGGCAGAGGTTTCTTCTCAACACGGTGACGTGGCTGAGTGTGGGTCTCACTCAGTTCCCACACTGGTTTCCGCAAGGAAATGAGCTGGCTGGAAAGTTTCTGGGGAGACCAATCCCACCGGACTGAGACATCACCTAGGGGAAGCATCTTACCAGAAATTTCCTCAGATCTTTGTAATTTGTGATGATCCCATTGTGGATGACAACAAATTCTGAAAGAAAAGTTAAGAGAGAAATGCTATTGAGAAGGAGGTTCATGTCAGATGTGAAGAGAGATGATTTCAAGGCTTGAGAACTCTCTGCAAACTCCAGGCCTCAAGACTTCTGTTAAGCACACTTTGTTTACAGTGATTAGCACAGATGTTTACGGCAGCAACTACAGTGGAACCAGGGATTAGCACCAGGGATGTCTAGGGCAGCGGCTACTACAATGGGATCCGGAGGAAATACACATCCCTCTTTCAGTGACCAGCAGCCACCAGCCTGACCGTGCAGAGAGCTCTCCCCTGTGCGCTATTATAGTATCAAACAGGCTTTGGGGTTCATGTCCCACGGGGATGATGAGCCCTTCGTTCCAGAAGTGATTCCAGGCACTCTCAACTGGCTTTAGGCACAAAGAGGTCGCAAAGAACAGTCCAGCACCGTGCTGTGTTTGACCCACACTGTGTTGTAAAAATATTTGAGTTTTTAAAATTCTGAGTGTTCACTTTAAAATCCTGGTTTCCTTGGGGGAAAAATCCCAGAAGTTCTGGCATCCCCAGGCTCAGCCACATTCCTGCACAGCAGGATCTGCCAGCTGCAGCTTTTCCCACCTCCCCAGTTCCTGCCGCACAACCCAGCTCACGCGGGCGGCTTCCTGCACAGGTAGCACCCCGCTGATCCTGGCGGGGAGGTGGCGGGGGGGCGGGGGGAGCAGGGGGATGCGGGGGATGCGGTGAGGGATGTCTGCCTCCACCCCACTGCATTTTCTCAATGAATAGCCCGCATATGAGTGCCTTGAGGGAAAGATCCAAGGCCAGCCTGAGAATTTTTCTGGGCAAGTAGCTCCGTTTCCCTCTCCCCCTAGAGGACAGAAAGATTCCCTATTACCCTTGAGGTTCAATAATTCCACCAGGAGGTGTCTAGATGTGGGATACGCTTCATAAATATTGACTATTTTTTTCAAAGCATCACTGTGAAGTCTTATTTGTTTTTATTATTACCATTATTATTTTGAGACAGAATCTCACTCTGTTGCCCAGGCTGGAGTGCAGTGGCGTGACCTTGGCTCACCACGACTGCTGCCTCCCGGGTTCAAGCGATTCTCCTGCCTCAGCCTCCCAAGTAGCTGGAATTGCAGGTGCTCGCCACCACACCCGGCTAATTTTTGTATTTTTTTAGTAGAGACAGGGTTTCACCATGTTAGCCAGGCTGGTCTCGAACTCCTGACCTCAGGCGATCCACCCACCTTGGCCTCCCAAAGTGCTGGGATTATAGGCTTGAGCCACTGTGCCTGGTCTATTGACTATTTTTGATCCCTTCTTTGGATATCCAACTCAAGTTTTCCTTCAGTTCGGGAAAGATTTCTCCCACAGCATCTTTTGAAATCTTTTCCATTATTCTTTTTCTTTATTCTCACCATGATTTCCTCTATTTAAAAAAATTGTAGTGTTTGTTTTTGTGAGGTCACACCCAAAAATGGGAGGGCTTAAATAAGAAAAGCCCAGTTTCAACAGATGTGCTGACCACAGCTCAGCTTTATTTTTTATGTATTTATTTATTTATTTTTTACTGCTCTGTGCTCTGATCGCTTCTTGTGCACACCAGTTACCCATATGTTGGATCCATATTAACTGGCTCCACGTCCATCCCCTTCTCCATTTTTTTATATCTATGGTGATATTGTTTCTTTTTCTTTCTTTTTTTTTTTCTGAGATGGAGTCTCACTCTGTCGCCCAGGCTGGAGTGCAGTGGCGCGAGCTCGGCTCACTGCAAGCTCCGCCTCCCAGGTTCACGCCATTCTCCTGCCTCCGCCTCCCGAGTAGCTGGGACCACAGGCACCCGCCACCATGCCTGGCTAATTTTTTGTATTTTTAGTAGAGATGGGGTTTCACCGTGTTAGCCAGGATGGTCTCGATCTCCCGACCTCATGGTCCGCCCGCCTCGGCCTCCCAAAGTGCTGGGATTACAGGCGTGAGCCACCATGCCTGGCCGGTGATATTGTTTCTTTACATTATTCTCTTAATTCTGCTACACTTTCTTTCATCTCAGTCTATGATCCTATCATTAATTTGTTTTCTGGAATCCATGTTGTCTCTGCAGAATCTTTGTGTAATTTCCTTGTGTGGTATAGTTGCTGGGCGTTCAGACTTCCTTAAAAGCATGCTCTTCAGCTATCACTGCTGAGTGTCAAAGAAATTTTATAAATCTTTGCTTATTGTCCTGTTGTTTTCTTTTCAATTACTCATCCTGAGTCAGGGCTGGAGTGTCCAAGTTTGGGTGTGGGTGGGCCTCCTGGGAGCCTCCCTGCTTTGGGGACACAATGAGAATCATCATCTACACTGAAGTGGGGGATTTTCCAATGAGGTTCATTTTATCACTGGGAAGGGCAGGAGGCTGTGGCTAAAGTGGCAACATCTCAGGGCACATGGTCTGGGCGCAGTGTTTTCTCGGCCAGCACGACTGCCCCAGGGACCAGCTTCTGCACTTGACCTGGGCTCTGGCCAGATGTACATTCTAGGTCCTCAGCACCATGGGGTCTGCTGTCCTCCTCCTGGACATAGGGTGTGTGCCTCAGTCACGAAATGCCCTATGGTTCAGGGCATGAGCCAGACCCAAGGAAGAGGCCCTCGCAAAAACCTCACTCCCTCAAGACCCTGATCACTAGGATGCATGAGTAGCCCTGGCTCCTGTGCTACCACCAAGCTGCTCTGCTGAGCAGGGTGGATGGGGCTCTCCTTCCGTTTTCTGGGGGACGCCTTCCCTTCCAAATTGGGCGGGGTGAGCTGGTGAGGCCCTGCAGAGTGCTCTGGGGAGAAGCAGCACCACTGCACTTTCTGTGGGTGGTGGGGGTGCCTGCCCATCCCGCCCAGTTACACTGCCTCGGAGAACCACTGATCAGCAGTGGGTGGGGGACACCAAGCAGGCTGGTGCTGCTCTCCTGTGGCCTGACTTCCACAAGGATTAACCGCAGTGGGACTTGTCAAGTGTCAAGGCTTAGTGCCTGCTAATAAGCTCCCAGTAACTGCTCTGATGTATTTGGTCCTATCTAACATTAGGCTTGGCACGAACTTACACTATGCCAGAGGATGTCTTGGGTTGGGGGGTCCAGTTGACTTCAGAAATCACTGTCTTTGCTGTACACCCTCCCCTGGCATGTCCAGGTTGGGGGCTTCAGGGGCTCGTGACTGGACCAGGCCTCACCTAGAGTGGGGGACCCCCTGGAAGGCCCAGCTTATGTCTTAGACTCCTGCCTGCCCTTGGAGGCCTGGGAGGAGACAGGGATTAGATCCTCTCTTCTGCTCCATGCCTACTGCATCCCACTGCAGGGGACCCGGCGCCCTGGGGCTGACCACAGACCCCTGAGAACTGCCACCAGGAGCTGCAGACCTACCAGTCTTTCCCCCATGAGAGGGGGCAAGGGTGTCATTTAAGAGAATCACGCGTGGAGAACTGTCCTGGCGACCCATGCAAGTGACACAGACCTGTGAGCTGGCCTGAGGGGGTGACTGGGCGAACAGGAGAGCCTGAAACCCACCAAGGACAGCAGGTGCAGCAACCTTGGCCCTCTGCCAATCTGTGGTGCTCCAACGTGCTGTCAGCTCAGTGTTTCCAGATCCTCCAGTTTTTCAAGTGATGCCAGAAGTCTGGACTTTTATGCACAGTGGTTCTCAACTTTTAAGAACATGAAGCAAGCTGAGTTGAGGGCTCTCCACCTGGGAAGAGCCCCTGGGCTTCGGGCTGCGGCCCCTACTTCTCCAAACCCTAAGCCCCTGGCTGCTGAGGTCTCCCGCTGGGGCCCACGGTGTGTCTGGTGGCACCAATCAAGACCAGTACAGCCCCTGCCCTCACCTGGACCACTCTGTGGGGAAAAGACAGGTTTAGCTGCATAAGGACAGAACCCATCCTTGCCTGAAGGGTACACCCTTCTGCAGCATTTCCGTCACTTGGGGAGGAACAGTGCCCAGGCCCCTCAGTCCCTCACGCGGCCTCATCCCACTCATGGGCTGGGTTCCAAGGAGCCAGCAGCTCTCCTGGTTAAGTGCCATCGTTTTCCTGTGCACTCCTGGGAGGCCAGCACCACCCTAGGACCAGGCTGCCTGCCTCCTGACTGAGGCCCAGGCCACTGGCAGAGCTCTGGGAGAGGGGACATCCGCATTCTCTTGGGAAGATGAAGTAGGCTGAGAAGTCAGTTAGAGGTGGGCGCGGAACCTGCTTTGGCGGGCACTGGCCCTGACACAGCTCAGGGTGAGGTGGAACCATGGGGACGGGGAAGCATGCCACATACCGTTGCCTTTGTCTGAGCGCTGAGGGTGGCTGTTGACAGCACTGGGGACCCCGTGGGTGGCCCAGCGCGTGTGGGCAATGCCGAAGTGTGTCTCAAACTCCACTTTTAAGTCCATGCTGTCTTGTTCTAAATGAAAGGAAAATCAGTTTGCCGCACTTGAACAACAAGCCTCGACCCAGGACTGTGAGTGCAACCTGGTGTCGTTACCCAAGTCACGTCACCCACACCGATGGCACCTCCCCACCAGCTCCCACCCTGGGAGTCCGCGCAGGCCCACAAACCACCCGTGCTGAAGGTTATTTACTACTTGTCTGTAGCTTAGCTCACTTCTTCACAGAAATAAACTTGCTTTAAAAAGAAAATGATATATCCCTACCATAAACAGAGAAGCAGTATCATTTGCTGGAATAATTAAAATAACTACTGTATGTAACCCTTCACACTTAAAAAAATTATCCATGCGCCGCCACCACCTAAAATAAACCATCCCATACCCTGCGAAGCCCGGTTTTACAGCACGGGCTTAGCCCTCCCTCTGTTTATCTGAGCTGGGACAAAGGAGAATCTCCATTCTCCGGCGCTGTTGGAATACGGTCCTAGAAAGCGGCCGGCGCTGCAGCGGCTCCTCCCACTCAGAGGTCCTCCACTTACTGTAAAGTTCTTCATCGAGAGCCTTGACTTTCCCCCTTTTCTTGACCAGCTGAATGTGTCTTTCTTTGACTTCGTGATTATTCCCATCGATCGCCACACCTGTGATGTAGACAGCATTTGTTATATTGCAACCAAAGCTTTTTCTCACACACTTGGCACAGGTGCTCCGCAGGGTCAGGGCTGCATGCCCCGGGCTGTCCGTTTATGGCAGGTTGGAGAGCTGTACAGTTTTCAGGAAATCTGCTCTGAAAGAGGCTGTGACTGCGGCCAGGCTTAACAGCAAGTGAGGAAGCCCCTGCCTCCTCCAGGCCGCAGCTGCCCCCAGCCCTGCTCCTGCCTAGCTAGGGTGAGCCCCTCGGGACACTTCCCCGCTGCAGGCGCTCCCAGGCCCTCGGCTGATGGCAATGGGCCCAGGCAGGGCATTTATCCCAAGGGCTCCTCGCATTGTGATATTTCGTTGGTATCTCCACTGCGTTAGTGTTCCTCCCGTCGTCTATCGGACGTGCTTCCTATTAAGAGTCGACAAGGATTTAAAACCATCGGGCTCCCCCTTTCTCCTCAGGCTGCATAATTAAACAAGGTCAACAGACTAAACATCCACCTTTGCAGTGAATGGAGGCCTGAACTCTGGGACAGCCACCCAGCGGAGCATTGTGTAGCCACTTAGAAAGCTACTTAGAAAGAGTTTAGGATCGGCCGGGTGCGGTGGCTCACGCCTGTAATCCCAGCACTTTGGGAGGCCAGGGCGGGTGGATCACAAGGTCAAGAGATTGAGACCATCCTGGTCAACACGGTGAAACCCCGTCTCTACTAAAAGTACAAAAATTAGCAGGGTGTGGTGGTGGGCGCCTGTAGTCCCAGCTACTCGGGAGGCTGAGGCAGAAGAATGGCGTGAACCCAGGAGGCGGAGCTTGCAGTGAGCTGAGATCGCGCCACTGCACTTCAGCCTGGGTGACAGAGCGAGACTCCATCTCGAAAAAAAAAAAAAAAGAATGAATGAGTTTAGGATCCTAGAAATGCCAAGTGAAAAGAGAAGAATATAAAATTACAAAATTGCATAATTATAATTAGGTAAAAACAAAAAATATCAACGTACAACACCTCCACCACAGACCACCCCCACAGACAACAGCGACCGGAGAAGGGTCCCAAAGACTGATGGGGGCTCCTTTTTTAATGAAGCCACCTCACTGAGGCAGGGCTGACAAACACAACGCTGCGCATACTTAATGTCTACAACTCGATGAGCTTGGAGGCACGTGTGCCCCCATGAAACCACCACTGCCGTCTATGCCATCAACCTATCACCTCCGAGAGTCTGCTCCTGCCCTCTTTATGTATTGTTCTGTGTGTGATAAGAGGACTTAGCATAAGCTCTACCCTCTTGGCTGGGCTCACTGGCTCACACCTACAATCTCAGTGCTTTGGGAGGCAAAGGCAGGAGGATCGCTTGGGGCTACGCCGGGCAGCACAGTGAGACCTCATCTCTACAAAAAATAAAAAATTAGCCGGGTGTGGTGGTGCACGCCTGTAGTCCCAGATGCTGAGGAGGCTGAGGGTCGCCTGAGCCCAGGAGCTTGAGGCTGCAGTGAGCCAATTTCTTGGAACTGCACTCCAGCCTGAGTAACAAAAATAAAAATAAAAATATGAAAATCTACCCTTTTGGCAAATTTTTATGTGCAAAATACAGTGTTGCTCAAGTCAGGCACCGCACGGCAGAGCAGCTGTCCAGGACTTACTCATGCTGCATGACTGTGGCTTTGTACCCTTTCTGCTTCCTGATGGGGGGACTTCTGATGAAGGGGGTTTTCTGGGGTTTTTTACCCTTGCTTCTTCTATTTTTCCATAGTTTTCGAATTTCTTTAACGGACAAGTGTTATTTTTATATTGAAAAGAGACGTTAAAAAGTAGCAGAAAAAATGCCCTGGTTGTAAACCCCCCTGCAGTGGAGATGGGTGAGACCACAGCAGCGGAGCCCGGTCCCCAGCCACGAGGCGGGCGGCCGCACACCCACCTGCCGAGTCGTAGCCTCTGTACTCCAGCCGCTGCAGGCCCTTGATGAGGGTTTCGAAGATCTCCTTCCTCGTCCGGGGGACTCTGTAGTTCATGTAGGCAAAGATTCCTGTTCAAAGAGAAAAAAATGGTGCATTCATAAAATACTCAGCTCGTGTTTGGAAGAAAACGCTTCTGGGGGATGCACCGAGGTGGCATCACAAAGGTCTCCCAGGGGCTTGCAGAGGTGGGTATGCCCCTCCCTGAGCACAGCTGAAGAACGGTGCACCCCTTCTTCCTCCTGTGACAAAAACCCCCAGAAAGCCTGTGTCACATGTCTTGGGCTGGCAGTTCCACTGCTGAGAACTTATCCTATGCTGTACTTGCAGGAGGCAGCTTTCAGCGTGGCAATGTCCATAATAGAAAAGGCAGCAATGAAATCCAACCGCCTTAGGACATCCGGAAGTCCCCACCTCCATGCACTCCCTGATTTGCAGAGCACACATCTAGGAGTGCCATAGAAAGGGACAGCAGCCCCCAGGGCAGATGGGACAGGCGCTGGGGCCTTTGCTTCCACGGTCCCCTTCTCCGTAAGGCTGGAACTTGACCTTAAATAAGCACTACTTGAGCCGGGGGCGGTGGCTCATGCCTGTAATCCCAGCCCTTTGGGAGGCCGAGGTGGGTGGATCACCTGAGGTCAGGAGTTCGAGACCAGCCTGGCCAACATGGTGAAACCCCATCTCTACTAAAAATGCAAAAATTAGCTGGGTGTGGTGGTGTGTGCCTCTAACCCCAGCTACTCGGGAGGCTGGGGCAGGAGAATTGCTTGAACCAGGGAGCTGGAGGTTGCAGTGAGCCGAGATCGTGCCACAGCACTCCAGCCTGGCGACAGAGCTAGACTCTGTCTCAAAAAAAAAAAAAAAAAAAAAAGCACTACTTTTATGACAGCAAGAATAAAACCATCTCATGCCCCTTGGCCCCTGCAGAATCCTTATGTTCAAGGTAGGCCTATGAGTCAAGAAGATTTTGTTCCACTTGACTTTCTGTATTCATATTTCAAGATAATTTTCCAAACAGAAAGTTAGCCGTTGTGTTGGTTCTGCCTTCCAGATTCCTCCACTCCTTGTTTGTGATGACAGATCCTTGATGTCCTCTCTCCTGCCCTGTGCATGCCCCATCCTCATCCCATCATCCCTCTGTCCTTTCATCCTCGCTCCCACTGCTCAGGAAAACCTGCCCACTTCAAAGCTCAGCTCCAGCCCCCGCCCTGGGCAGGTGTGCTCCTGGCTCTGGCCACCTCAGTGCTCTCACGTCATGGGACACCCACAGTCCCCACCAAGGGCACAGGCTGGTGCTTCTATCTTTGTATTCCTCACTGTGTGTTGGCACCCAGTCCTGTTCACATGTGGAACAGAATATGTGATGAGTGTGTATCTGTATCCCTGGAGGGAGGCAATAGTATGGGTCATAGAAATGTCACTGGGTTTCAGGCATATTCACGGTAACTGTCCTAAGTTGGCTTGGGCTGCTGTAACAAAATACCACAGACTGCCTGGGTTATAAGCCACAGATGTTTATTCTCACAGTTCTGGAGGCCGAGAAGTCCAAGATCAAGGTGCCAGAGATTCAGTGTCTGGTGAGGGCCCGTTCCTCACAGACAGTGACTGCTCATTCCAACCTCATACGGTGGAAGGGGCCAGGGTCTCTCTGGAGGTTTTTTTTTTTGTTTTTGTTTTTGTTGTTTTTCTTTTTTGAGACAGAGTTTCATTCTTGTTGCCCAGGCTGGAGTGCAATGGCACGATCTTGGCTCATGGCAACCTCCGCCTCCCGGGTTCAAGCGATTCTCTTGCCTCAGCCTCCCGAGTAGCTGGGATTACAGGCATGTGCCACCACACCTGGCTAATTTTGTATTTTTAGTAGAGATGGGGTTTCTCCATGTTGGCCAGGCTGGTCTCGAACTCCCGACCTCAGGTCATCCGCCCGCCTCGGCTTCCCAAAGTGCTGGGATTACAGGCGTGAGCCACCCTGCCTGGCCTGCAGGTTTTTTTTTTTTTTTTTTGAGACGGAGTCTAGCTCTGTTGCCCAGGCTGGAGTGCAGTGGTGCCATCCTGGCTCACTGCAAGCTCCGCCTCCCAGGTTCACACTATTCTCCTGCCTCAGCCTCCCGAGTAGCTGGGACTACAGGTGCCCGACACCATGCCCAGCTAATTTTTTTTTGTATTTTTAGTAGAGATGGGGTTTCACCATGTTAGCCAGGATGGTCTCAATCTCCTGACCTCATGATCTGCCCACCTCCGCCTCCCAAAGTGCTGGGATTACAGGCGTGAGCCACCACGCCTGGCTCCGCAGTTTTTAAATAAGGGCACTCATCCCATTCGTGAGGCCCATGTCCCTATGACCTAATCGCCTCCCCAAGGCCCCACCTCCTAGTAAGACCACCATGCAGCTGAGGATTTCAACAGATGAATGACGGGGGAACAAACTCTCAGGCCACAACAGCGACTCGCCTCACTGAGAAGTCCCTGTGGGCCGGGCACTGGGCCACCAGTTCCCACAGGGTCATCCTATGCTCAAAACAGCCTCTGAGGCTAGTCCATGGCCCTCCTCTTAACTTCTGGACCAGAGCCACAGGGGAGCCTGTGACTCGTCCAGAGCCAGAGTGGAACCAAGAATCCCCGACTCAGGACTTAAACACTCCTACCCACTGGCCAGTACCCCGGGATGGATGCCACGAGGGTTACAAGAAGGTTTATTTTCCCAACTATGTTTTGCTGGGATGAGAGAAAGGTCTGATCAGGATTGAAATTTTTCCAGAGGTGAACCTCAGAGAGGACAACCTGCCCCTAGATAACAGACAGCTGATTGTGATTATATACGAAACCACCTGGAATATCTCTGGTAATTAAGAAGATCAGATTCATGTCAATATGCTACATCTGAATAAATGATAAACTTCAATGAAATGAATGTTATATTCCTAAACAGTGAGTGGGGTCCCATCATATAAACTTAATTAATCTATAAACAGTCAAAAATAGGCAATAAAATTAAATAGTACTATAAATTATACTTAAATTCTTACTGAAAGCTACTGTACACAGGATATGTTTGCACATATGTATTAAGGTGGGGGATTTATATATAAAAATATGTACACTATGCTTTCTGAGCAGTTACAGGCGTTTTCCTTTAAAATCAGCCAAGGGCAATTTTCTCGGTAGGCTATTTTTGTCTTCCTTGCCATCTTTAGATCAGGTGAGAGGAGCTGAATGTATGGGCTGTGTGTGCAGTTCAGGCCCTTCTCCGGCAGGGCCAAAGTGTCCCCAGTGAGGGCCGCGCAGCACTGCTGCTGAGTATTTATGGTTCCAGAGGCTCACACGACAGCCCCCAAACATCTGGGCATGGGAGGTACTTTTGTCACCTTATTTTTTAAAAAGATAGTTATTTTTTGATATGGTTTCGCTGTGTCCCCACCCAAATCTCATCTTGAATTGCAGCTCCCACAATTCCCACGTGTAAGGAGGTAAATGAATCATGGGGGCGGCTCTTTCCCATGCTGTTCTCGTGAGAGTGAATAAGTCTCATGAGATCGGATGGTTTTATAAAGGGGAGCTTCCCTGCACACACTCTCTTCTCTTGTCTGCCGCCACGTGAGATGTGCCTTTCACCTTCCACCATGACTGTGAGGCCTCCCCAGCCATGTGGAACTATGAGTCCATTAACCCTCTTTCTTTCGTAAATTGCCCAGTCTTGGGCACGTCTTTATCAGCAGCATGAAAATGGACTAATACATCTTTTAATGTCAATTAAAAAATTTTAACAGCTTTCTGGAGACATAAGTCATGTACCGTAGCAGCCTGCCATCTAAAGCATGCGATTCAGTGGTTTAGTATATTCAGAGTTGTGCAATTATCACCATTCATGTTTAGGTGAAATGTTTTTTTTTTTTTTTTTTTTGAGACAGGGTCTCGCTCTGTTGCCTAGGCTGGAGTGCAGTGTTGTGATCTCGGCTCACTGCAACCTCGAACTCCCAGGCCCAAGCTATCCCCACAGCCTTGGCCTCCCAAAGTGCTGGGATTACAGGCATAAGCCACAGTGCCCAGCCTAGGTGAAACTTTTCATAACATTAACTCTTCTAAAAACAACCAGAGGCCAGCGCAGTGGCTCACGCCTGTAATCCTAGCGCTTTGGGAGGCCAAGCTGGACAGATCATGAGGTCAGGAGCTCAAGACCAGCCTAGCCAACATGGTGAAACCCTGTCTGAACTTAAAAAATAGAAAAATTAGCTGGGTATGGTGGTGCGTGCCTGTAATCCCAGCTACTCAGGAGGCTGAGGCAGGAGAATCTCTTGAACTCGGGAGGCAGAGGTTGCAGTGAGCTGAGATCACGCCACTGCACTCCAGCTTGGGTGACAGAGGGAGACTCCATCTCAAAAAGAAAAAAAAAGGAAGAAAGAAAGAAAGAAAAAAACAACAACCAGAAAGTTCCCTGTGGGGACATGGTCAAATTGTGGTCAATGTAAAGACCACAGTTAAGCGAGGGAGGGAACAACTCAATAAAATCTGTTAGAGTCTTTTACACTGAACTTTCCTGGCATCCTGGGCTGGGAATGTTCTAGAATTATACTTGTACCACCCTAAGGGAAGCAGACAGACATCACAGATGACACAAAGGTTCAGAAATGTACCCATTGCCAACTCTGAAAAGGTTTTGCATCTGAATGATGTTCCCGAGTGCATAATGAGTCAGCTCTGCAACTCCCCCCTGCAGCTCCCCCACCTCCCAGCCACACTTCACTCCTGCACACGTCAGGCGAGAACGTTCGGCACGCTCCGCAAGGCACCGCTGACTTTCAGACCCACGACAGCCTCCTGGACAGCAGCGGGGGCATAAGGGGTCCTTGTCCTCAGGACCACCAGCTGTGTCCGTACCCAGCCAGGAGGCCCGGTGCCCACTCAGGCACAGCAGGGGAGCTGACTGCAGTGAGAAAAGCTGCCAAGGAGTGTGGTTTTCACCATCTTGGCGCAAGAAAGCATAAATCTCATTTTCACCACGAGCCCTCTTGCGTAGTGACATCCCTTCGGTCACTTCTTTCATGAAGGAAGCTCTGTTTCTTTGCTTTTGCAGCTCATCCTCTTGGCTGGATCCTCCCTGCACTCTACTGCACTCAAGTGAATAAAATAGCGTTCACGCTGTGCTCTTATCATTTAAAAATAAAACACAGAATAAAATGAAGCTCCTTTCCCAGGAATTTCTCCTGCTATTTACATCAGAATTCCCTTTTGGAATTCCTTCCATCCATAAATAAAAGCTACAGTGAGAATCCACTTTTTTAAACCCATGAGGTCGGTAAAGATCAAACAGTTGGACAGTGAGAGTTTAAACTCACATACCCTCTTTGGAAAGCAATCTGGCAATCTCTCAAAATTAAAAATGTACACATCTGTGGACCAGAGCTGTTGGGCTTCTAAGAAGGTATCCAGCGGACTTTTTGCAGAGATGCATGTGCACACGTGCGAGGACAGCTGCTCAGGGCTCTTGTGGTTGCCAAAGACTAGTGACAGTCTGATGTCTGGCAAGCGACAGGCAAGGGACAGGCAAGGGACAGTGCAGCCACACAGCAGGGCCTTTTACAGGCAGCCCTCAACAGAGAGCAAGGGAAAGCTGTGCATTCTCTTGGAAGGCAATTTAAATCTCCAAGATGTGTCAAGGGAAAAAGAAGCTTGCAGAATATGAGTAAATTACGCAAGGGCTGGGGGAGGAGCATGGAGCATTTCTAGAAGGGCACCACGCCCAGAGGGCAGTCAAAGGTAGCCTCTGAGGTCACTGGATGTTGAGCAGAAACTTCCTTTCCACTGCACGTGTCCTCTTTAGATGGTTAAGACATTTCACCGTGTGCCATGGCACATGTGCCCCTATGTGAATTAGGTGGTGATGAGTACATCACCATTATCTAGATGCCAGATAATGTCTAAATAAGCAAAGACTTCATTCTATCCACAGGGGGATGTCCTAGCCAAGGCCTGAGGGTTAACATGGACCGACTGTTTGGACAGTGGTGTACATGACGCAGACCTGCCTGGTTCACCTGGATTTCCTGTGGCACAGGCATTCTGCTGAGTGGGACCTGAGAGCTTCTGGGTACAGGAGGAGTGACCGTGCGGCACCTGGGACCCCCAGCCAGGCCGGACCTCTGGCTGGTTCTGCTTTCCACCGGTGCTTGAACCCTCCTGGCATGTCCGAAGCACCAGGGCCACAATGGCCCTTCCCTCTGCAGGGGACGCCAGGCCTGCCCTGGCCAGGCCTTCTTGCCCCTCGACAAGAGGGGCCGGGCCCACCTGACTTGGCTGGTCCCCTGTTCCACTCCCCTGGAAGAGCAACGGCCATAAGAGGGCTGTAATAAGGGGCAACCTAAGCACATGCCCCAGCCTTAAAAACACCAGCCCAGGGCCACCCGCCTGGGTTGGCTTCCTCCCTGCTGCTGCCATTCACCAGCCAAGGCATACCCAGAAGCACAGAGGCCGTGGCCAGTGCCGGAACCCACCTCGAACCCCAGCTCCACCCCTTGATTTCAGTGCACTCTCCAGCAAGCCACTGAATGTTCGGACCTCAGTTTCCCTGTCAGTGAAACAGGGTGATGGCTACAATAGTGCCTGCCACAGGGCAAGGAGCTTGAGAAATTATCCCTTGAGAGATTTATCATTCAATAAAACCAAGGGGGAAATAGTACCATTTACTGTCATTTCATCTTGGCCTTCTGCCTGGGGAAATAATGGTTAAACCAAATGCGTTACTTGGTTGTGGCTTGGTCAAGATTTAATTCATCTGTAAGCAGTTCTCAGGCCCACAAGGCCGCGTTGCTGTACTAGGTGCTGCAAGCTACTGGGATGGACCCATCGGGGGGCCTCACTGAGCGCTCCAGGGAAGGACAGGGATGCACAGGGACCTCCCAAGCCCACAGGGGAGGTGGGAAAGGGCTTCCCGCTGGGGTGGGAGTAGGCAGCTCTTTGCAAGGCTGGCTCTTGCTAGCTCTTCGCAAAGGCGCCTCTGACCCATTCTGCAGGTTTTAGCAGATCTTTCCCACCACCTTCTCCAGCCACATAGCCCTGGTTATTCCACGCTGCACTTGCTTCCTTGTCTTTTTCTTCGGCTCCCCGCTGGATTGTAACCTTCTGGAGGATGGGACCACATCTGTCTCATCCATTGCTGAGTCCCCAGCACCTGGCCCAGGGCCTGGCACATCTTAGGTGCTCAATAAATCCATGTTGAGTGAATGAATGAACAGATGGAGGAATGCCAGAGAAGGTAGCCTTTGAGCTGGGTCTGAGACAGCCACGTTCAGCCAAGCATAAGCAGCTCCGCTCACTGGGACCCACAGCAAGGACAAGAGGGACACAGAGGCAGGAGGTCCCTGAGTGCCAGACCCTTACAATGGGAGCACGGTGCCACCAGAACTCTCGGTTAACCCCAAGATAATCAAACACAGAGGCTTACATCCCCCCGCACAACACCCCCGGCCCCATGCACCATGAGGATCCCAGGACTGGCATGAGGACAGCCTTCTAATCAAATGAGCCAGGGCCTAGGGAAGGCTCCCAGAACCCTGCTGGGTAAACCACCATCTACAGTGGCTCCCCGCATGCCAACCCTTCCCGAGCTTCACCTCCTCTAATCCTCATGACATCCTGTGTGAAGAGACTGTGGTTCCCAGGGATAGAGATGGCATCGGAGGCTCCACTGCCAAAGACTTGAGGAATTCACAGCCAGGTCTGCCTTTTTGCAAGCCTGGGCTCACCACTTCTACCCCCACCTCCCCACAATCAGCATAGAAACCTATCCCAAGAAGAAAGGTATAGCTCACACAGAGGGTCCCTGGCTTCTGAGGAGATGCCCGCCTAGCACCAGATGGGTCCAGGACAGGTGCTGCCCCCTGAGAGCCAAGCCCCACCACGGGACAGTCCAGCTTCCAACTCCACCTTTCTCCTCCTGTTCAGCCCCCACCCCACCAGGGCCTCGGTGACCACGGCAAGGCAGGTTCCAGCTACATCCCTCTCTCGTCTTCTCTGCCCCGCGGGCCCACCGCGTGACGTCAACCCCTCCTGCTGTCTGGCCTGAGCCCGCCTTGCTCCCCATGCCACCCTGCAGCTTCCGCCCTCTGGGTCCCACTCCTGCAGGGTGCCCTCAGCCCAGTGCGTGCGCCCCTGGGGCCCCCAGGCCTATGCACATGTGATGCCTTCTCCAACCCCCTACCCCAGATGAAGATCTTTTCCCTCCTCTGAACCCCTTTTTCCAACTTTCCGTCCCCTTTTCAAGGCATCTGTCACTTTCTACCTTGATCTACTGCTCTTTCCTAGCCTCCACTCCCAGGGCTGCCCACGGCGTAAGAAAGGCATCACTGGCAGGCGACAGGATTTTAAATGAGCTGAGAACGGGGCAGTAAATAACACCAAACTTCTTTGGGGGAAAGTTTTCCCCTTTCTGTTACTCTTCTTAGCTTGGAAATCTCCTTGCAGAACTGAGAGGGAACAGACATCAGGCCTAGCAAACCTGGGAGCAGTCTTATTTCTCACATTGAAGAGACAGGGGATGGACCCAGCCAGGTGGGGGATGCTGAGCGCCCAGAGGGGCTGGACAGGGAGGTGCCTTCAGGTTCCCAAGAGCCTGCAGAGGGTTGGGATTGAGAGGCCAGGAGAGCCGAAGGCAGGAGAGCCTGAAAATGCAGGCTTTATGGAAAGTCTGAGATACAGGAGCCTGGAGATCTTTCTAAAGAAAAGGAGCACTTTGCAACCTCTGCAAAGATGGCCCTGGGCCAAGCATCCTTCCTACCAGCAGGAGAGCCCAGGTGGCTTGGAGAAAGGCCCGGCCTGGGGGCAGAGGCTGCCCTGGCCCCACCACCCAGTTTGGTCATGTGCCCTGTGGTCACCCACCCAGAGCTTCCAGACAGCCTTTCAGGGCCCTATCCTCAAAATTGATAGATAAAATGAACCGGGAAAGGTCCCAGAAGGAGAGGGACCGAGAAAAACTCAAGGGGATTCCAGAAGGGATTCGACATGAGCCCTCCGAGAGGAGACTGTAGCCTCTTGGCCCCGGCTCACTGCTATATTCTGGGGCTTCCAGCACTTTCTCTGCACAAGGCCCGAGAGATCACACAGGAAGTCAGGAGCAAAGACATCATGAAGGGGCACGCAGGCAGGGCCTCTGAAGCTCAGGGTTCAACCCCCAAGTGACAGATAACGACAATGGCCAGCGCAGGGAGATGATATTCCCTGGACACCCAGCCAGAAGGTCAGCCACACTAGGGCACTGAATTCCTGGGATTTCCTCTACAGCCCCTGGAGTGCTGAGCGTGGGGGTGGAGGGGAGGGATGATTTGCGGCCTGGGGGATGGGGAAGACACCACTTCGCAGCAGCCAGGTTGGGCCCACGTTCTGATTCTGGTGACGCTTGTTTTGAAAAATCTCTCCAACTTTCCAAGCATCGGCTTCCCAACGAAAGCCCAGCCCTCACTCTGAGTGAGGGGACCGTTCCAGGGAGAGGCCCAGCCAGTGCTCCACACAGGACAGGTTGGCTCTGGAAGCTATGTCACCACCCACCCAGGCCAGGACTCACCCCTCAGAGATCTGTCTTTCTCCCACCATCTGTTGCTTCTCCGAACTGAAGGGGCTGACCTTTATAGTCCATGAGCCTCCTAGAGATTAGGTATCATCCCAGGTCCCAAACTGGATTACTTCCTGCCTCAACAGAAGAGTACGGCCAGTTGAATGTCTGCCTCAATGAGGGCTCGTGAAATTCCCGAGCGTGTGCACGTGTGTGCCTGGGCCTGCCTGTGTGTGTTGGGGGAAGAGGGACAGGTCCACTCTCCTGGGTGAGGCCCACAGGTGTGGAGAGTCCCCTGGGCCTTGGGCAAGGGCTGCTGAGGAGCTGTGGCCTCTCATACACTGGGAAAGGTCACTTGGTGAAGCAGGGATGACAATTCCTGCCACCTCCTTGCAGAAACAAGATCAAAGCTGGAGGTGCCGCGGATGCATGTGATCCCACGCCAGGCTCTTACAGAAAGACAGAGGAGCCTGCGGGCCTGGCGGGGGCCCTGAGCAGACGCGGCACCTGGCTCAGGGTAAGAAGGGGACTTGGCTCCCCTGGAGACAGCCCCAGACTGCCCCAGGCCTCTTTGGGACCCCAGGAGTTAAAGTGACCTCACCATTGGAATCCATGAGATAATAGACTCTGCTTCCTGTGGTAACCTGGACAGGACATTTCTTTTCTTTTTTTTTTTTTTTGTTTTCTTTTTTTGAGACAGGGTCTTGCTCTGTCGCCAGGCTGGAGTGTAGTGGCACGATCTCGGCTCACTGCAACCTCTGCCTCCTGGGTTCAAGCAATTCTCCTGCCTCTCCTTCCCGAGTAGCTGGGACTACAGGTGCGTGCCACCACACCTGGCTAATTTTTTGTATTTTAGTAGAGACAGGGTTTTACCATGTTGGCCAGGATGGTCTCGATCTCCTGACCTCGTGATCCACCCACCTCGGCCTCCCAAAGTGCTGGGATTACAGGTGTGAGTCCCCGTGCCCGGCCATTTCTATTTTTTAATAGAAAAGTTGCCAGTGTCCCTTTCATTCTTACAGTTTCACCAAAAACAAAGAGGGAAGTGATATATATTTAATTAAAAGAAAAAAAAATCTTAAGAAAAGAAGGGGACAGGTACAGTGGCTCATGCCTGTAATCCCAGCACTTTGGGAGGCCGAGGTGGGAGGATGGCTTGAGCCCAGGAGTTCAAGGATGCAGTGAGCCATGATTGCCCCACTGCATCCCAGCCTGGGTAACAGAGTGAGACTCTGCCTCTAAAAATAAAAATAAAATACCTAAATAGTTTAATTGTTTTATTGTGAAATTCATTTTCAGAATTTTCTCTCAAACTTATAACCTCAAATTAATCACTCTTTATAAGCTAATTTTGCTAGATACAAAAATAATCTCTCAATTGAAAAGCACTGTTTACTGATGCTATACCATAAAGTTATAAAAAGAAGGTTTTTCTGAACTTGGGAATCCCCTGAGGAGACAGTGGAGGGCTGCAGCCAGCACAGAGACTGGAGCGACACAGCCACAAGCCAAGGAACGCGGCAGCCCCAGGAGCTGGGAGAGGCCGGCGACAGATTCTCCTCAGAGCCTCTGGAGGAGGCTCAGCCCTGAAGGTACCTTGATCTGGGCCAAGTAAAACCGATTCTGGACTTGTGGTCTCCAGAACTGTGAGCGAATACATTTCTGTTGTTTTAAATCAGTAAGTTTGCAGTCATTTGTTACAGCAGCCAGTGGAGACGAACACACCAACCAGGACAAAAGACGGTGATGTCAAGGCAAGGGCTTCACCTTCTGGCAAGAACTAAGAATTCTCCAGCTCTTCACAGTGATTGTTTTTTTTTTTTTCTCCCTCACAGATTACTAAGTGCAGTATGGGACGCACAGGGACAGTTTACAAATTCGTGGATGGGAAGCGCAAATCCTTCCTGCCAAATCCCCATGCATGCCTGGTCCATGCTGCCACACTCCAGCTCATGCTGTGCCCCAGCCCAGCGTGCCTGCCACCCCCTCCTCTCTGCAGGGCCCGTGCTCGTGTCTGGGTCCTTGTGGCACTGCCCCAGGTCCCTCCCCTTCTTCCTAGGAAGGTCAGCTCCTGCCTCTGTTGTGCAGAGTCCCATGAGTGAGGGAGGCAGCTGGGAAGGACTGGGAGAACAGGCGAGTTTGTGTCCATCACCCAAGGGGTCACCCAGGCCCTATTTGGAAATAAGGACTCCAGGTTGCTCATCTTCAGATTTTGTCAAGAGAAGCCAAAACTCCCACCTACTTATGTGAAATCTCCCAATTTTGTACTTTGGTAACTAATAGAGGAAAAGGTTTAAACCCTGTGCACCAAACAAAAAGATGTCTGTCTTCCCTGTTCGGCCAGTACTCTACCAGGCTGTAGCCCGTGCTCAAGGTCCTCCCTCCACAGCAGCACTGCCCTGATCGGCATCCCGTCCCTGCTGGTGACCAGTCTCTGGACTAGCCCTGCGGCTCACCTGCCCCTTCTTTGAGGGGAGGACCACACCCATGAGATCTTCGAGTCCCCCAGGGCCTGGAAAACACTGGGCATTTCCACTAGTGGCTGAATGAAAAAGGAAGCAGAGAAGGAAAGGAGAGAGACAGGGAGGAAATATTGTAAATTTTCTGTCGCAGAAAGTCAGCAAAATGCCAGCAACTTTCAGATGTCAATAAAACCAAAGTGTCATTTCAGCTAAATTCTCAGTGCACTGAAAGTTTTTGAGAATCATCTGCTGTTTGTAGAGGATCAACTACTGCCGAGTCCTGGCTTCCCATGAGAGAAGCAGCAGGATAAAGGACAGCAAGACATAATCTCAGCAGTGTCATCAGCCAAGTGATAAGGAAGGGCCTTAGGTCTCCGCCCCTGAGGGAACGGCCCAGGAGATCTGAGACCCGAGGCCTGCTCAGACGCCAGGTGCGCACAGACTTCGCAGGGCCTCAGCTTCCCCAGCGTAAAGTGAAGAGCTTATCTGGTTCTTTCTAGGAGCATCTTCACGATTCTTGCAGTATCCTTGTACTAATAGCATAATCACTACTTTTTCTTCTGCAGAATTTGATTAAATTTTCAAAAATTTAAATGAATTCATGCCAAAAGAAAACAACCATAAAAGGAAAATCAGTATCACTTGTCATACATACTCAGACCATCATCCCCCCCAAACAGACCAATGTATTCAATTCTAGCCAGCTGCTGCTGCCTGCTCTGAGCCAGGAATGGCTTCCCCTCTGCACAGGATACTTAAGCAAGTGTCAGAGAGATGTTAAGGACACGTTAGCACCAAGTTGAAACTTTCTCCTGATGTTCTTGAAAAGGAAATAACTTTCCCATGCAGGGATTCCACGACTTCCTGCTGAGCTGTGCCCTCCCCACTTCCCCCACCCTGCCCCCAGCCCCAAATCAGCAAATCTGGGAATTCTGAGAAGGCACCTAAGCCAGCACGCACTCTTTGATTCTGGCTCCGAGTGGGCACCCCCATGGACCGCAGCCACTCCTGAGCCCTGGGTGTCCTTTGGGGACCTCAAGCTCCTTCTCACATACAACCACAAGTCAGTACCAGAAAATCTGAAGATACAGGTGGTCACACCCCAAAGCTCAACCTTTCCCTAGGAGACAACGCGTGTGTGTCCCTTTAAGAAGCAGAACAAAAACACTTGTGATTTTGTGAGCTGGAGGAGGTAGAGCCCCCCCAAAGCTCAGAGAGACTTGGGAAAAAGCAAGATGCCAGTAGGAAGGAGGATGACAGGCAGGGGTGGCAGTGGGGGCAGAGGAGCATCTGAAAGGAAGGGGAAGGGGAGCCTCTGGTGCTGTGGGCAGACCCTCCTGGTTCAAGGGTCTCCTGCACAAGTCTGGCCCCAAGGCCACCAGTTTTGGCCAAGGGTCTTGAATGCTACACTGAGAGGTGTGGAACATCAGGGCTTGGACATCTGGCAAAACTACCACCTTTGCCTCATCTCTGCCCCCAGAAACACCCAAAGGTGGCTCTACACATGGAGAATGGCGTCTGGGAGCACGAGATTTTAGCTGAGGGTTCAGGAATTTCCACGGATGCCTGTTCAGCCTGGGTGAGGCGGCATCCCGAAGCACGCTGCCCGCTCCGCCGTAGGTCGTTCCCTTCTGCCGAGCAGCTGGCCTCCGAGACAAGAGGCCTGCACAGACCTCGGCCAGGGCTCACCGCGGGCGCACCCCACCCCGGCCCTCAGCAAAGTCAGAGAGAGGCCTTTCATGGCTTCGAAAGTTCCTCCAGGTCCTCCAGCCACAGGAGGCTGGAATGGGTAACCGAATCCTACTCAAGGAAAAAAAAAAAAAAAAAAAAGAGCACAGTGACCTTTTGTCCCAGCAGAAGTTCCCGGCTCTCTCCCGGCCAGCGGAGGCGGCCCAGCCAGGAGAGTAAAGAATTGCAGATGTGCGCTCCGGGCCGCGGCCGCCCTCCCCACGGTCCCGCAGCCACGCGGGACAGCGCGGGAGCGCCGCGGGAATCGGACGCCCGGCCCCGCTCCCCGCCCCGGACTCCCTCTCGTGGCTTCGGGCCGAGGTTCGGGCAGTGACTGCCTCTTCCCCGCGCAAAGAGGCGGTAACGCGGCAGCGACCCTTCTAGGGACCAGACGTTCCTTTGGGGTCGCGAGGAGGACGCGCAGGCCCTGCCTGAGGCACTGACGCAGCGGGGGCGACCGGGCGGGCTGCGGGGACGGCGGGGCGGGGTCGCCTCTCCTCTCCTCGGTGGGCGCGGCGGGCTGAGTCGGGATGGGCGCCCCGCACTCGGGATGCGCCGGCCTGCGCGTGGCCGCCTTTGTGGGCGACTGGGAGACGTGGAGGAGAGCGACCTCGGTCGGCATGGGGTGGGGACCCCTCTGTTACGGGGTCCAGGCCGGACCGGACCAGGTCCCTCCCCTCCGTGGGGACCGGGCCTCGGTCCCCCTCACTGTGTCCGAGACCAGGAGTCGGGTTGGGCATCCCCCACCCACACCTCCGAGACGGCCACTCGGGGAACGCGGGTGAGGGGCAGCCAGGCCCGGCCGACGACAGCCCCTCGGTAGGGGCCCGGGGCAGATCGGCGCCCCCAGCCAGGTCCTCGGCGCCTGCTTGCGGGCGGAGGCGCGGAGAGGCTGCGGCGCCGGGACCCGCGGACGGCGTGGAGGAGGCGGCTCGGGCGGGCGCGGCACTCACCGCACATCGTGGCTGCTTCTCGGGCTCCTTCGCGGCTCGAGGGGGTCTGCCCGTTCGGACGCTGGGGCTCCTCCGTGGGCTCCTCCGTGGGCTCCGTGGGCTCCGTGGGCTCCGCGGGCTCCAGCTCCCGTCCGCTCGGCCTCCAGCCCTTATAACCCGGAGCCCTCCGAGAGGGCGGGGAAGGGGGCGGGGAAGGGGCGGGGCTTCCCCCGCCCGCCTGCTCCCATTGGCCCCCGGTTGTCGTGACAACGACGGGACCCGGCCCCCAGGAGCCAGGGAGGGGGGCCGAGGGGCGGCTCCCAGGCGCGGGTCGGGCGTGTAAGGCTGGGGCGCCGGGCGCCAGATCCCGGAGCGGGGCTTAGGGCAACCAACGGCCCGAGTTCAGACCCCGACTCAACCAGAGTAGGCGTGGAAGCCGGGCAGGGCCCGATCGCGCTGTGCCTCCGCTTTCCCGTCTGTGAAACGGGGCTACCCAGGGAAGCTCCCTCCCACGGGGTGCTGAGAAGTCAGACGGGCCGCGTAAGGGGCAGAGCGAGGGGTCCGGCATCACTCGCGCGCTCCGGAAACCCGCGTGAGCCGCTGTTCCTGCCGCGCTCCCATCTGAGTGACAGGCTTGTTTCAGAGCTCCGCAGACCTCTAAGCCTGGCCCTCACCCTGCGTGGAGAGAACGCCCGGGCTTGGCGGAGAGACGAGAAAACCGAGGCTCCCGGAGGCAGACAAGGACTCTGCCAAAACCGGACGCCGCGGCGGTGGCAGAATTCGACCCTGGGATTTGCCGCGGAGCCCGAGCTTGAAGGCGAGGGTTCCGCAGGTTGTGAACGAAGCTGGAGGCGCCCCAGGAAGCCCCGACCCCACCCGCGCCGAGCTGCCCCCTCCCCAGATCTGCCTCGCGCTGCAGGCCCGCGAGGGACCCGGGGGTTCCTACGCCTGGGGTCGGAATCCGACCCCCCAGTGAGGCACCAAGGCCCGCGTTTCTCCGCCCTGGTTCCCGGCCGTCCCTCCCGTTCCCCCTGCACTCTGGGCCCCTCGTCTCCCGAGGAAGGTCACGAGAACCGGCCCAACGTTTGCGCACTTTGAAGTTTTTTTTTTTCTTAAAAAAATCCTGAAATTCTAAACGGATCCTCCTCAGTCGTGTAAAAAAAAAAAGATTTTTACATCTCGTCTAGAGCATTTTTCTAACATAATCCCTCCCTAGTTTCACCGCGACTCTGCAAGCCCTGGGGGAAGGAGGTTGTGCCATTGGAGGGTTGGGAAAACTGAGGCTCCACGACAGCGAAGGAGGGGGCTTGGGTGAGTCCTGTTGTTGGGAAATCTCAGAGCGATTCAGGAGCCGCAGCGTTTGCCCCCAACCCTCCACTATGCAGGGTCGCTTTCCTTCCTTCCTTCTCTCATTCCTAAGAACCCACTTCACACCTGTCAGGGTGCAGGTGCAAGAGACTTATTGATGAATGAGAACAGATCTGGCCCTGCCCTCCTGGCACTTACAAGTGAAGGGGAAGCAGACACTAAGCTCGTGGTTACACAGAGAGCTAAAAATTCCAGGTAGGATACAAGGAGGGGGCTGGGCCAGCGGTGGAGAGGGTGCCAGGCTCTGCCTGGGACTGGGCAGGGCTGCGCTGGTGCAGGTGGTCCAGAGCCTAGCGAAGCCAGGAAGGAGGGAGCAGCAGGCAGTGCAAAGGTCCCCTGGATGAGGGCTAGAACTTGAATGTGGAGATCAGGTTGTTTGGCCCAGACTGGCCTCCACTGTTGTAACTGAGGCGGGGACAGGGTGATGTCAACAGGCCCTCTGATAGCACCAAGACCCCAGGAGCCCTGGGGTCTTAGCAGGGTCCAAATCTGTCCTTTATCCTCCTGGAGGAGTCACAGGTCCACGGTGAGGAACGGCATGAGTGCACACTACCACCCATGGGGATGTGTCTGTAGCAGCTGCCGGCCTAGCATCACTCCTGCTTTGAGAACCCTCTGAGAGTCATCTGGGAGGTTGATGGCCTGGGCCTGGCCACACAGCCTGGGCAGTGGTTCAGAGGTCAGCATATGGCCCAGGCTGGGACGTTGATGACCTGCTCCAGCACATGAGGGAAACCAGCAGAAAAGATGAACTTGGCCTGGTACAGTGGCTTGGGTCTGTCATCCCAGCACTTTGGGAGGCTGAGGTGGGAGAACTGCTTGAGGCCAGAAGTTGGAGACCAGCCTGGGCAACAGGGAGACCCATCTTTACAAAAAGTAAAAAAAAAAAAAAAAAAAAAAAAAAAAAGCCAGGCACGCTGGGTGCAATGGCTCATGCCTGTAATCCCACCACTTTGGGGGGCAAAAGTTTGAGATCTTTGGGATTGCTTGAGCCCAGGAGTTCGAGACCAGCCTGGGCAACACAGCAAAACCCGTCTCTACTAAAAACACAAAAATTAGCCAGGTGTGGTAATGTGCACCTGTAGTTCCAGCTACTCGAGAGGCCGAGGCACGAGAATGGCTTGAAACTGGGAGGTGGAGGCTGAAGTGAGCCAAAATTGCACCACTACACTCCAGCCTGGGCGACAGAGCAAGACTGTCTCAAAACAAAACAAAAATCCAGGTGTGATGGCACGTGCCTGTAGTCTCAGCTACTCAGGAGGCGGGAGGACTGCTTGATCAGCCTGGACAACATATTAAAACCTTGTCTCTACAAAATAATTTTTTTAAGTAAAAAAGATGGCTTATTCTCTCCTGAGTGGTGTGGCTGGTAGGAGAATGTCCTGATGATGCTGGGACCTTCTCATCACTTTTGCAGTGGGGTGGAGAGAGGCCACTGAAGAGCGGGGCAATCGGAGCAAGGCAGATGGATCTAGGATGGAGACGATACACATCAGAGCCCCTGGATTCGGCCAGGTCTGAAGCCAGGATTTATCCCTGGACTTCTCAGTATCAGGGCTCAATAAATTCTCATCTTTGCTTGAGGTACTCTGAAGTGACTTCTGTCATTTGCAACCAAGTAGAGTCCTGACTCTTGGATCGTGCTGGAACTAAAGTCTGAGGCCCAGGGGAGTGGGTAGGCAGGAAGCCGGTGGCAGCCCAGAAAGGAGACCTGGTCTGGATCAGGGGGCCCAGGAGGAGGGAAGATGCAGGGCCGTGCCCAGGAGCGTCTCTCAGCTGGACCCCATACATGTGCTTACACGGGGAGCCATGCCCAGGTGCCTCTCTCAGCTGGACCCCATACCTGTGCTTACAGGGGAGCAGGGTGCTGAGTCTGCTCCTAATGGTCCCAGTGTCCACTGCCCATCCTGCTCTCCACCGCTGGCCCCAGCCACACTTTCCCGGAGTGCCTCCACCCTTCTGGCCAGCAAGTGAGCCAAAGACCTGGCTGCTTCACCTACACAGCTTTTGCAAGCACTTGATAGTTGGGAGATTTGCTCATTGATCTGGCTTCTCCCGAACAACCCAGAGATCTTTTCCCCTCCCCCAGGCTCTACCCCCAACACAAACTGCCCAGCTGGGTCCCATGGCTGTCCAGGTAGATGAGGACTACACCTGCCATCCCTTGGCCACAGGCCCTGTTCAGCTGCTTTTCCCTGTGACATTTCCACTACGGTCTGGGGAGGGTTATGTGGCCCATGGTAGGATGAAGGCCTCCTCCAACTCCTGTGGGATCCAGGCTGGACTTTCGCCAATTCTCATGCTGTCATCAGGGTCCTCTCTACCAGTTTCCACCAGCCCAGCTCTGCCTGAATCTGGCTGGGCTATGGCTGCAGGGTGACCTGGAGTGGTCACCTGTTCTTCCTGATCTCCCTTTGCCCTTCCAGATGTAGAAATGCCAGGCACATCTCACTGTGGCCTAGAGACACAGCCCAGGCCAGGGACCACAGGGCCTCCTGAACTTCAGCAGAGGGCCCAGGGGGCTGGGGGTGCAGGTCCCTGAGGCCTGCAGCTGGGAGTCCTGCACTGGATCACTCCGTGGCGTGGGGAGGGAGATCCTAGGGGAACCTCTGAGTGCTGCCCACAGTGGGCAGTGGGTGGGGTTCAGGGAGCCCAGGGGAGACATCACAGGTGTCATGACTCGGACAAAGTGTCCTGCCTCAGGGAGGCCGATCCTCAGCTCAAACTTAAGATGATGGGGCACCAGGGGTAGCAGGACTAAGGGCCAGACCTGGGCATGGGGCAGGAAGCCACACCGCTCCACCCCCCGCCCCTCTTGAGAGGCTGGGATAGGGTGGATGGGGCATGAGCAGGTCACAAAAAAAAAAAAAAAAAGAAAAGAAAAGAAAAAAGAAAAATCCCTGGTTAGGAAAAATCTGAGAAAACTGATCTGGGGCCAGGATTCAAGGACAGCCAGAAGTGGAGAGCCAGGCAGGAAACCAAGGCAAGAATCCTTGCAAGGAGTAAGAAGATCGTCTGGGGCCTGAGAAAGGGGCAGGGTCGCGTAGCTCAGGTTTTGTCCCCCAGATGGCTTCACCACCGGCCCCCACCACCACCCCGGGGCTGAGGTGAGAGAGGGCCACACCCCATCCCTGTTATGAGGGCAGGCCAGGGTGCACAGTGGTCCTCTCTCTCAAGTTCCTGGGTGACATGGTCCTATTTCACCACCTATCTCTCTCCTCCTTTGGAGGAGGTCTGCCACAAAGCTGAACTCATGCATTCTTTTATGATTGTAGGGTTTGTTTTTTTAATAGGGCTACATATACATTTTATAACTTTTTTCTTTCTGAGACAAAGTTTCACTTGGTTGCCCAGACTGGAGTGCAGCGGCAGGATCTCGGCTCACTGCAACCTCTGCCTTCCCCATTCAAGCAATTCTCATGCCTCAGGCTCCTGAGTAGCTGGGATTACAGGTGCCTGCCACCATGCCCAGCTGATTTTTTTTGTATTTTAGTAGACACAGGGTTTCACCATGTTGCCCAGGCTGAGCTCAGGCAATCCACCCATCTTGGCCTCCCAAAGTGCTGGGATTACAGGCATGAGCCACCACGCAGTGCCTGAACCACTGCACCCGGCCAATTTTTTTCTTACAGAAGAAATACATGTTCATTTTAGGAAACAGAGAATAAAAATATTTTTAAAGGGTTAATAACTCATCTTTTTACCTACCACCAAATGTTATTCTCTGCATCTATAGTCAGTATTTAAACAACAATACAGTCATTCTGCAAACATTGTTTTGTAGCTGGAATTTGACTTCTGGTTATAGAGAACTTCAAATTGTGCTGCAAAGCTGGGATCTGGCCCAGAGTCGTCAGCGCTGTCCCTGATGCACCTCTGTGCCACGGCATCCTGGAAAGCTTGGGCTTTCCACTCTGCTTGGCCAGGAAAGGGTGGGGGTTTGTGCGAGACAAGCACTAATCTGATATTGCACTAAGCATTGACTGAGAGACGGCGCTGGTGGGAGGGCAGCAGGCTACCCCGTCGCCCTGTTCCTGTTAACTCTCTGGCAGAGACAAGGGAGCTGGGGCTGTGGGCTGAATGTTTGTGTCCCCCCAAATTTATATGTTGAAATCCTAGCCCCCAAGATGATGCTATTAGGATACAGGGCCTTTTGGGAGGTGACTCAGTCATGATGACTGAGGCCTCATGACGGGGTTAGTGCCTTACCTGAGGGACCCCAGAGAGCTACCTTGGCCCCTTGCGATACAGTGAGAAAGCACCGTCCATGAACCAGGAAATGAGCCCTCAGGAGACAGCAAATCTGCTGGTGCCTTGATCTTGGACTTCCCAGCCTCCAGAACCGTTGAGCAATAACCTTGTTGTTTACAGGCCACCCAGTCTGTGGTGTCCTGTTGTGGCAGCCAAATGGACGGGGAAGATGCTGATGAAGGTAACGCCTGCCTTTCCTCACCTGTGTGGCCCTACCTATGCTCACCCCATGCCAATCACTCAGTTATTTCAGGCAAAGCATCTTCTCAGGGACAAAAAGGCACATGCTGGGGTCCCTGCTGGAGCAGGCAGAGGCCTCACATCCACGGACCATGTGGGGAAGTAAAGTATGGCTGTTCATTTATTTTCCAAACGTCCTCGGCACTTACGTGTGCCTGCTCTGTGCTAGGCCAGGGGGTGTAGAGAGGAAACCAACCGTTTCCACCCTTGAAGAGCTTATAGCTCACAGTCTAACAGCAAATACACACACACACACACACACACACACACACACACACACACACAGAAAATAGGGAGTGGCATTCCAATTCTAACTGAATTTTATAAGTTGGAAGGCATTCAGCAGCAAATTGGGTGGGGAAGGGCACGCTGGGGTAAGGCCAGCTGAAGCAAAGGCCAGGTAAGAAAAGCAGGCCAGGCTGGGCCCGGTGGTTCACACCTGTAATCCTAGAACTTTGGGAGGCCTAGGCAGGACGATCACTTGAGGTCAGGAGTTCAAAACCAGCCTGGCCAAGATGGTGAAACCCCATCTCTACTAAAAATACAAAAAAATTAGCCAGGCGTGGTGGCAGGCACCTTTAGTCCCAGCTACGTGGGAGGCTGAGGCAGGAGAATCATTTGTACCTGAGAGGTGGAGATTGCAGTGAGCCCAGGTCGCACCACTTCACTCCAGCCTCGGTGACAAAGTGAGACTGTCTCAAATAAAAAAAAAAAAAAAGAAAAAAAGAAAAAGAAAGAAAGAAAAGAAAAGAAAAGCGAAGACAGAGAGAAAGAAAAGAAAAGCAGGCCAGGCACAGAGAATGAGCAGTGCCAATCCTGCACACCTTGTCTAGAACCATACACCCACATAAGGTAAGGAAGGAAGGTGAGTGGGAGGGGAGGCAGTAGGGAGCGGTGGTGTGTCCAGAGCTGGTTCCTGCCGGTGGGTTCGTGGTCTCACTGACTTCAAGAATGGAGCCGCGGACCTTTGCGGTGAGTGTTACAGCTCTTAAAGATGGTAGCACCCAAAGGGTGAATGGTAGCAAGGTTTATTGTGAAGAGGGAAAGAACAAACACTCCACAGCCTGGTAGGCGACCCAAATGGGTTGCCACTGTGTGCTGGGGGTGGCCAGCTTTTATTGCCCTATTTGTCCCCACCCATGTTCCATTTTTGTCCTATCAGAATGCCCTTTTCTCAATCCTCCCCGGATTGGCTACTTTTAGAATCCTGCTGATTGGTGCATTTTACAGAGCGCTGATTGGTGCGTTTTACAGAGCGCTGATTGGTGCGTTTTACAGCTCGCTCATCGGTGCATTTTATAAACCTCTTGTAAGACAGGAAAGTTCCGTAAGTCCCCACTGGACCCAGGAAGTCCCCCTGGATTCACCTCTCAGTGGTCTTCCTGGTACCAAAAAAAAGGCAAGAGGCTGGTCACTGGGTGGAGACCGATGTGTGGCGAGGGCGCAGCGTGGAGGTGGGTAGGAAGCCTGTAAGGGCCTCTTTTGAATAACTCAAGGTAGGTGTTTCAAGTTGTGTTGATGTGCCCATTCTATAAATAGACCTTTCCTGAAAGGCCAGAGCCAAGTGCTCCTGGGAGCAGAGCTTTGCAGCCCGGCCCTGACGGAGGGCTGAGGACGACCCAGTGGCTCGGATGTGCTGAGGGGAGAGGGCGGCACTTGCGTTCACCTTGGGCCGTCTGCCCCATCAGAGCCTCTTCTGTTGTTCGGGACTTCTCCCTGTAGAACCCCAGGGGGAGCCAGCCCTGGAGCACTTGCCTGGGGCTTGAAGGCTGGGCCGTGACCCAGCAGAGTGGGATGACAGAGGTTTGTTAGGAAAAGAGTTTCACACTGTGGGCCACACGAGATCTCTTCTCTGTTGCATATTCTTCTTTGTGCGTTGTTTTTGTTTTTGATTTGTCTTTCATAGTCCTTTAAAAATATGAAACCATTCTTGGCTGGCTGGGCATACAAAAGCAGGCCAGGGTCAGGATTTTGGCCTTGTGGCTGGCCTGTGGTCTGTCTGTGGGTCCTTTCTTTTCTTTTTTTTTTTTTTTGGAGACAGTCTTGCTCTGTCGCCCAGGCTGGAGTGCAGTGGCGCGATCTCGGCTCACTGCAGGCTCCGCCTCCCGGGTTCACGCCATTCTCCTGCTTCAGCCTCCCGAGTAGCTGGGACTACAGGTGCCCGCCACCACGCCCGGCTAACTTTGTTTTTGTATTTTTAGTAGAGACGGGGTTTCACCGTGTTAGCCAGGATGGTCTCGATCCCCTGACTTCGTGATCTGCCCGCCTCGGCCTCCCAAAGTGCTGGGATTACAGGCTTGAGCCACCGCACCCGGCTGTGGGTCCTTTCTTTAATGGCAGTGCTCAACCCAGGCCTGGCCATGGAGTTCAACCCTCAGCAGAGGGTGTCTGCACTGGGCCGCTTGAGGGCTGTATGTGATGGACCTGTATACGGCTGCTGTTGGCAGGGGGTGAGGAGCTCACACAGTCAATGGGAAGCCCTGAGAACCTGGCTCAGGAAATCAGCAGGGTTCCAGGGCAGCCTGGTGTCCAGAGTCCTCCAGGACAGCAGCCTAGGAAGGGGGCTCTGGCTGGCTGCACAAGAGCTACTGTGGCCAGCAAAGGGCCGCGTCTGCATGCTTTCCCAGGAAGATGCACGTGTGCTCTGGGGTTACAGCAGCCCTGGCCAGGAGCCCTGGGGGAAGGAGCCCCGAGTATGAGGAACTCCAGGCTTCCCAGAGCACATGCCCCAGAGGGGCAGCTGTGATGCAGGCCAGAGAGCCTAGAATGGCCTGGCCCACTCACTCAAGCTACCATGGTGATTGTGGAGAGGTGGGCCCTGCCCTGGCAGGTTTGCCTTCTTCTGAGGGGCCTACTTTTGGCTCTCTTGACCTAAACTTTGCCTCTGTGCCAATGTTTACCCTGCACCCCTGCAGATCCCCTCTCCACCCACTCCTCCTGCTCTGTGCCCTGTGAGTCTGGCTTCATCAGGGGGCCAGGGCCCTCTGGCTTCTGGTGGGCTTTGGCTAATGAACGACACCCAACAGGAGGTCCAGGAAGGGTGGGGAGTGAGGTCAGGATATTTGCCCTCCAGGAGGCAACTGAGTCTCTTCCATGGGCCTCAGGTTCTATGTGGTTTTCTCTCCCGCAGCTACACTCTCGGGGTCCAGCCCCTTCAGGTCTAGGAGTGGCCTTTCTCCAGCTGGGCACCCCCTTACACCTGCACACTCCCATCAAGAAATGCTCCTCAATCACTGTGTCCAAGGCTGCAGCCTCGGGGCACCAGCTGTCTGTGTCTGTCCAGGACTGTCCTGGTTCTAACACTGAAATTCCCACGTCCCAGGGAACCCCTCAGTCCTGGACGAACCGGAACACTTGTCACTCTGGCTGCCGCCTGTTTCCTTGCATTCTTGTCTAGTAAGCTGAGAGTGAGAAAGGCCCAAGTTTGGGGCCAGGCGGGGTGGCTCACGCCTGTCATCCCAGCACTTTGGGAGGCCGAGGCGGGTGGATCATGAGGTCAGGAGTTCAAGACCAGCCTGGCCAAGATGGTGAAACCCCGTCTCTACTAAAAATACGAAAAATTAGCCAGAGGTGCTGGCAGGTGCCTGTAATCCCAGCTACTTGGGAGGCTGAGGCAGAGAATTGCTTGAACCCGGGAGGCAGAAGTTTCAGTGAGCCGAGATCATGCTACTGCACTCTAACCTGGGTGACAGAGTGAGACTCTGTCTCAAAAAAAAAAAAAAGCCCCAAGGTTGGACTCCCAGTGTCTCAGGACCAGTGTGAGAAGTGCAGCAGTTGCCCAGCACTGAGTGTGGCTGTTTCTTCAAGGGGGTTGCCTCCAAGTTCTTCCTATCCCAATGCCTAGGCTGGGTGCTGGCTGTGCTACTTGCCTGGGGTTCCCGCCTGGCCCCATAGGCAGCTGAGCCAGCAACACCACATACTGCAGAAGTCCTACAGGTTGCGGGCTGGGGGGCGGGTAGGAAGAGTAGGAAGCGCTCTGAGTGTGGTGCTGAATGTCTCCTCTGAGTCTAGCAGAGGCATTTGGCTGTAATTCTTAGAACTCAGTACAGGGACAGAAGTTGAAGGTTTGGGACCCAGGACACTTCTGGTGTCTCCCTCCAGACAGTGGGTTTTGGGTGAGCCATGCAGACAGGAATGGGCAGCATCCCAAGCAAACGTCAGCTCAGCACCAAAGGGCATGGGCCAGACCCCAGAGCATGCCTGGAGCCACTCCCTGCCCCCTGAGCGGCCTTGTTTCCCTGTGCGTCTAGGCAGCTGGGTGGGACATGAGACTCTCCCAGCCTCTGCTGGTGCAGGTAGGAGGCTTAGGGAGGGTGTCCACTAAGTGAGCCAGCAATGGTACCTTCTGGAGTGACCAACAGGCAGGGGGGTCATCTGTGCCTGCTTCCCTCTCCACTGGGGATAGCACCCTGACTTCTTCTGTGGAATCACCCCTTCTCTCCACTCAGCCTGCTGGATCGTGAGGGGCTGCCAATCAACACAGTCTAGCTCCAGGCTGGACAGGGGACCTCAATCAGCCTGACGAGAACTAGCAGGTGTCATCTCAGAGGAGTCTTGCTGGACTCATCAGAAAAGAGAGGGTCTCTTTCCCGCAGAGTTACTAAGGTATGAGAATGCGAGACTGGGGTTTTGCTTGTGGGGTTTCAACTTGATCCAAGTGGAGAGACTCTGAGAGTGGGGATAAAACGGGAAAGAAGATCTGTGTGCCTGGTCCAGCCCTTCCCATAGCCACGCTTGCCTAGACTTCTCTGCCACCCAGGCTGGAGTGCAGTGGTACGATCTTGGCTCACTGCAACCTCCACCTCCCAGGCTCAAGCGATCCTCCCATCTCAGCTTCCTGAGTAGCTGGGACCACAGGCACACACCACCACGCCTGTCTAATTTTTGTATTTTTTGTAGAGATGGGGTTTCACCGTGCTGCTCAGGCTGGTCTCAAACTCCTGAGGTCAAGTGATCAGCCTGCCTCGGCCTCCCGAAGTGCTGGGATTACCGGCGTGAGCCACCACACCCAGCCTCCTCAGGCTTTTTGTTCCTTGCTTGGATGGGGGCCTTGGCTTGCCTGGCGAGGTTGACCCTTGTCCCCAGGGACTTCTGCACCATTTGCCCTCTCCTCTGGCCTTTGCTGCCCTGGGCCTGGCAGTGTTTAGAGGTCTTCCAAGCAGCCTGCCCAGTCACTTAGGCATTCCTTATCTTCATGCACACTGCACGGTGGAGGTGGGCCCTTCCCTTCTGGGAAGCCTTCCTGTGATATGGTCTTCAAGCACTGATCTTTGTGAAATTCCTCGAGGTTTCTCATGGGATGCTGGTAGCACTACCACCTGTTTACATAATCTGTGAGATGACTGACACCATAACTTTAATCTTCCATGGAGCAGTGAGAGTGGAGGTCTCACAGCTCACGATGCCCCCGGAAGCCTGTTGCCGGAGAACCCATGAGTGCTCACCGGGGCATCTGCTCCATCCTTTCACATAAGTGAGTCGCACTGTTGCTGGGGGTGGAGATTTTCTCTACCCAGCCTGAGCTGACATAAAGGGAGCTCATAATGGCTCTAGGAGGGAAAACAACTCCCAGGTGTATTCATAGACAAGCCAAGCCAATAAAACGGGGCTTCCACATTCTGAGGATATGGCCACGTGTTGCTTATGTTTGGAAATAACTAGACCCATTTACGAAACTCATCTTCCTTTTCTTGTAAATCACTTTTTGACTTTCTTTTCTCGATAATATTATCTTCAGAAAATCTTTCTGATCTTAAAGGATATGTATACACACATGTATTTTTGTTATGAAAAATTTCACACATACACAAAAATAATCTGATGGACTTCCACGTACTCATCACCCAGAGTCAGCTATTATCAACATTTGGCCTGTCTTGCTCCATCTATCCCTACAGTTTTTGCTTTGTTTTGTTTTGCTGGACCAAATCCTGATATGGTTTGATTTGCTAATACAGGCATACCTCATTTTCTTGTACTTTGCCTTATTGCATTTTTCAAAAATTGAATTTTTCACTAAATTGAAGGTTTGTGGCAACCCTGCATTGAGCAAGTCTATCGGTGCATTTTTTCAACAGCATGTAGTCACTTTGTGTCACTTTATGTCCCTGTGTTAGCATTTTTTAACAGCATGTAGTACTCACTTTGTGTCTCTGTGTTAGCATTTTTTAGCAATAAAGTATCTTAAGATTAAAATATGTGCATTTTTTAGACACAATGCTATTGCACACTTAATAGACTATAGTAGGCCGGGCGCAGTGGCTCATGCCTGTAATCCCAGCACTTTGGGAGGCCAAAGCGGGCTGATCACAAGGTCAGGAGTTCGAGACCAACCTGGCCAACATGGTGAAACCCTGTTTCTACCAAAAATACCAAAGTTAGCCAGGCGTGGTGGCGCGTGCCTGTAGTCCCAGCTACTCAGGAGGCCAAGGCAGGAGAATCACTTGAACCTGGGAGGCAGAGTTTCAGTGAGCCGAGATCGAGCCACTGCACTCCAGCCTGGGCGATAGAGCAAGAGTCTGTCTCAAAATTAATAATAATAATAATAGACCATAGTATAAACATAACTTTTGTTGTTGTTGTTGTTTTGAGACAGAGTTTCACTGTGTCGCCCATGCTGGAGTGAAGTGGCGTGATCTCGGCTCACTACACCCTCTGCCTTCCAGGTTCAAGGGATTCTCCTGCCTCGGCCTCCCGAGTAGCTGGGACTATAGGCACGTGCCACCACGCCTGGCTAATTTTTGTATTTTTAGTAGAGACAGGGTTTCACCATGTTGGCCAGGCTGGTCTCGAACTCCTGACCTCAGGTGATCCACTCACCTCAGCCTCCCAAAGTGCTAGGATTACAGGCATGAGCCAATGTGCCCGGCCTAAACATAACTTTTATATACACTGGGAAACCAAAAAACTTGTGTGACTCACTTTATTAGGATATTCACTTTATTGTGATGGTCTGGAACCAAACACAAAGTATCTTCCGGGTATGCCTGTAATTCATGATGTGGATTTTAAAGTAAAGACTCTTATGACCATGATACCAGTATCACAGCAAACAAAACTCATAATACCTTAATAGTATCTAACACTCACTTCCTATTCCTACTTCCTCGATTGTCTCAAAAACATCTTTTTACAGCTTGTTGGTTCAAATCAGTGTACAAACAGTATCCACACATGGCTAGTGTGTTTCTAAGACTTGTAAAATACGGAATCCATGAGAACTTTCACAACTTCCCCATGCCATTCGCTCTCCCATCTTGGGGTGGTCTGAGAGTAGCAAGTGTTTTTACAGCCTGCAAACCCTCTGTAACTGTGCTCCCGTGAATGTCCATTTCCTGCCTGGCCCGGAGCAGGCACTGAGACTGTGTGGGCACCACGTGCTGCTGGAAAAGCAGCAGCCCCAGGGCCCGGAGCCCAGAGTGGCCGGAGATGTGAAGACAAGGGAGGGATGTGTAGAAATGCCGGTGCCCACAAGAGGCGGCTGCAGGGTGTGGACAGTCCTGGCTCCATAGTTGGGCTGGCCAGGGCCGAGCCTTGACTCCCTGCGGCTTCGAGCCTCTGGCATTCTCCTCTTGCATCAGACGGAGGCAGCTGGCACTCTCATACACTGCTGGGGAGAGTATCCATGGGTACAACTTTCTTTTTTGTTTGTTTGATTTTTTTGAGACGGAGTCTCACTCTGTCATCCAGCCTGGAGTGCAGTGGCGCGATCTCAGCTCACTGCAATTTCTGCCTCCCAGGCTCAAGAGATTCTCATGCTGGGATTACAGGCATGCACCATCATGCCTGGCTAATTTTTGTATTTTTAGTAGAGACGGGGTTTCGCTATGTTGGCCAAGCTGGTCTCGAACTCCTGGCCTCAAGTGATTGTCCCACCTCGGCCTCCCAAAGTGCTGGGGGTACAACTTTCTAGAGAGAAATTTGGTAGTATATATGAACGACCTTAAAATGTCTATTTTCTGACGCATTATTCTAATGGGATAATGAACAACTGGGCAAAAAATATTTGAGATGTTCACCTGGTGCTGTTTATACTTAGCAAACGTTGAAAATAACCCACATCCCTCAATAGGGACGGGTTACGTGAAGAATGGAACATGCCCACCAGGAAAGGTCACGCAGCCCTGAGACTCAGACACAGGTTATATTGCTAAGCAGAAGAAGAGGGCTACAGCAACGTTGTTGTATTGCATAATCCTCATTGTGCTCTTGCTTTATTTTTAACAGCTTTACTGAGATATAATTCACTTACATACAATTCACCCGCTTAATGTGTATAAAATAGGGAGTGTTGGTGAGTGGGTGCGGTTTTGTTAGACAGGGGAAATGTGTGCTGGAGACCTCAGGTACAGCATGTGTGTACTGAAAAATTGCTAAGAAAGTAGATCGCCAATGCTGTCACCACAAAAACAAAACAAAACACCACAAACCCCAATAACGGTGTGAAATGACAAACAAAACACCACAAACCCCAATAACGGTGTGAAATGACAAACAAAACACCACAAACCCCAATAACGTGTGAAGTGATGGATATGTTAGTTGGTTGGTGTTAGTCGTCTCATGATGTCTATCTGTATCAAAACATCACACTGTATGCCACAAATATGTACAATGTCCATTTGTCAATTATGCCACAGTAAAACGGGGGAAAAATAAGGTGTATGATTCAGTGTCATCTAGTACATGACCAGAGTCGTGCGGCCTTCATCACCATCAGTTTGAGAACATTTTCATCATCCTCCAACCAAAAAAGATGGGGAACCTCTGAATCTGGAGGGAAGGCTTCTTGACCGTGGTGTTCTGGAAGCAGAAAGGCTGGCCCCTTGCCTGGGAGAAGCAGCGTGGTTTCCCTGTCCTGCCTGCAAAGTGGCTAGTGGCAGGCCTGTAAGCAGGGCCCGGGAATGCTGCGCGTCCAGGGGGCCATGGAGGCTTGTGCCAGGCCTTTGTCCTGGAGCCCTCATAGGCTGGACAGGACCACACCTACAGAAGTGTAATGAGCTGGACCTCCCTTCCCACCAGCAGCTCCTCTCAGGAGTCCCTGGTGCCTCCCCCATCTGCCCAGGCTGCTGAGTTGGGGTCACGGGCCTCTTGGCACCAGCCTGTCTGGCTAGTCTGCTCCTTGGCAGAGAAGTCAGGGCAGGGAGAACAAGGGGCTCTGTGTCCTCTAGGGGTGCAAACTGCCCCACATCACGATCTCAATCAGTGGAGTGAAATGATTTGGACCGTCTCATGAATCTGCAGATGTTGGTGAGCAAAAATAACTGAAAACAAGCCAGCATCCAGACTCCCAGCCTTCCAGCCTGGCACGTCCCAGTGGTGCAGGTGCATAGATGGAGTCACAGCAGAGATCCTGATGGCAGGGGCCACTTTCCTGGAAGGGACTCGCCAACCCTGTCTTGGCGCCCGCTGACCCTAAACATAGGCAGGTCACAGTGACTGCCCACTCGGGGGTCCTAGATCCTGACTATCATGAGACTTCATGCCAGGTGCCTCTATACCTGCTGTCTGGAAAACCATTTGAGGTGCGACACTGTTCTCTCATGGGCCAACAAGAAGATCCCTGGCCGGGCGCGGTGGTTCACGCCTGTAATCCCAGCACTTTGGGAGGCCGAGGCGGGTGGATCACGAGGTCAGGAGATCGAGACCATCCTGGCTAACATGGTGAAACCCCGTCTCTACTAAAAATACAAAAAAATTAGCCGGGCGTGGTGGCGGGGGCCTGTAGTCCCAGCTACTGGGGAGGCTGAGGCAGGAGAATGGCGTGAACCCGGGAGGCGGAGCTTGCAGTGAGCCGAGATCATGCCGCTGCACTCCAGCCTGGGCGAGAGTGAGACTCTGTCTCAAAAAAAAACAAAAGAAAAAATTCTTGTAGTCTGTGACTGCGGTGCCTCGATGGATCACAGTGATGGGCCCCAAGAGCTCCACTGAGCACAAGGCTCTCCTGCCTTCTCCCAGCTTCTGTCCCCTGACTCTGAGTCTAGCCTGGAGTCCCGCCGAGCACAGGCCTCAAGCCTGTGGGGCAGAACTCACCTCAAATCAGCTGAAGCAAAAAAGAAAGGAAATGTACTGTTCCCAAGTGGGTCCAGGGGCTCAGGCAGTTCTTCCTGGTGCCACCTGCCGTGCCTAGGAGTAGAGGGTCACTGGAGCCAGTCTTGATGCTATGCAACTGGGTGAAAAAACTCAAAGTGGTGCCAGTCAAAAGGGGACTTAATTAGTTCACATAACTGAAAAATTCATGGGCAGGTGCAGGCACAGCTGGATCCAGACACTCGGATACTGAGGTCTCCTCCTGTCTCCGTCTCTCAGCTCTGCTTTTCTCTGTGCTGCTTTAGGTCGGTTTTCTTTGCCTGGTGGCCCTGAAGGTTCCAGGCTTGTATCCTACTGACTTAGCAACCCCAGTGGACAGCAAGCGCCCATCCCCAAAAGTTCAGAGGAAGAGCTGGGATTTCCTCAGGTTGTGTTGGGAATCATGCATCCCTGAGCCAGTCACTGTATGGTCACTACAGGTCTGGGCTTCACACCCATCGTGGGGTGGGGTGGGGTGGGCTGGACATCTCCCAGACAAATCTGAGGTGCTGTTAACAGACCAAGGCATGGACGATGGGTTGTAAACAACTTGTTTTTTTTTTTTTGAGACCGAGTCTTGCACTGTTGCCCGGGCTTGAGTGCAATGGTGCGATCTCGGCTCACTGCAACCTCCACCTCCCATGTTCAAGCAACTCTCCTGCCTCAGCCTCCCGAGTAGCTGGGATTACAGGTGCACACCACCACGCTCAGCTAATTTTTTTGTATTTTTAGTAGAGATGGGATTTCACTATGTAGGCCAGGCTGGTCTCGAACTCCTGACCTCATGATCCGCCCACCTCAACCTCCCAAAATGCTGGGATTACAGGCATGAGCCACTGCGCCAGGCCTTGAGCCACCGTGCCCAGCCTGTAAAAAACCTTTTGTCCATCACAAATGTGTAAGAGTCGGCCTGGGCCAGTGGGAGGGACGTCAGGGCAGTCAGGGCCAGGCGGAAGGGAAGTGTGTAGGGAGGGGAGCCCAATGGGTTGAAGTAGGAACCTCATGGGGTGCTGCAGGTGGAGCCCGGGAGCCTAGGGTGTGGGGCCCACAGATAGGGCGGGCTGGGCAGTCCTTCCCCATGCCCTCCATTGTGGGAGGCTCAGCGGAGGGCCTTACACAGAAGTGACCTGGAGGGACCTGCACTTTAGGAAGATCCCTGGGGCAGTGGGATGCTGGGTGGGCGGGAGGCTTCAGGGGAGCACAAACGGTCCCAGAGCTGCTGGGGAGGGGAGGGAGGGAAGGAAGCGTGGCATGCCCCATGGATCCAGCCCTGGAGGGCACCAGGAGCGCCGAGGCTGGCTTTCAGAACAAAGGCAGCAGCAGGCTGGGGAGGTGAGGAACATGGTTGCGCCTGGTTGGATAGGTGCCAGTGGACACCCCATTCTGCAGTGGAGAGGTACATGGGCACTTGGATATGTATCTGGGGCTTAGAGAAGGAGCTGGGCTGGAGGCTGGTCAGAGTCGGGGGACCTGGATGGGAAGAGGTGGAGGGCGGGGACGGGGAAGATGCAGAGGAACCCGTGCCAGGAGGCCTGATCTGCACTCAGGTGCCTGCTCCTGCTGGCCTGTGACTTTGGGCAAGCCCCCACATCTCCTGGAGCCTTGATTTCCTCATCTGTAAAACGGGGCTGGGAAGGCCTAGCTCCCAGGCAGTCATGAGGACAGAAGAGAACAGGCTCTGCAAACTGCGTGGCACAGCGTGCATGCTCAGAGGACAGTGAGGAAGCCTGCAGGCAGGGCAGGGGCCAGGCCAGAGAAGGTCCCAGAGCCACAGCTCAGGGAGGGGCAGGCTGTCCATGGGGAGGGGCAGCTGCTTCTGGTTCCCTGTGAGCTAAACTCAAGTGTCCCTGGTGGAGTCCGATGGGTGCGGCTCAAGCTGGGGAAGGACGCTCCGTCAGTGGGGGTTCTGCAGCGGGGTCACTGCCAAGAACAGCTGCAAAGCCACCCTGGCGGTGGCATTCAGAGCCTTCATTATTTTCTTCAGAACACACAGCTGGGAAATAAATGATCACTGGCTGCAAGGATGGGTGTTGGCCAGATGGCCTTTCTGTCACCCCTCCCAGCTAAAAGGGATTTTGGGAAATTGTCTTGTCATCGGATGAGGAAAATGAGCTGTGTGCTGCCTGTTTTCAGATCGCGAGTGAGTCAGACAGTGGTGGGGCTACAGAGAGTCTCAGGCCTTTGGACCAATCCACCCACTGGACAGATGGGAGAGGGGCCCGAGAGGCTGGGCGCCTTGTGTGGATCATCCGGCAGGTCAAGGGCCCTCGAGGTGGCCACCAGCTGGTGCGGACTCCTGCCTTCAGGTGGAGCTGCACTCCGGGCTTTGGCATGAGCTCCAGGCCACCAGCTGGTGCGGACTCCTGCCTTCAGGTGGGACTGCACTCCGGGCTTTGGCATGAGCTCCGGCACCCCCTAAACTTGCCTGCGGCCCACTTAGGGATGCTTTCAGAGGGGCCCACCGTATCCTGGAGTCGTGGTGTGAGAGGTTTTGCGTGTGTGTGTGCGCACGCAAAGGGGGAGCTGGAGGCCGGGCATGTGTGATCTCCAGGGCCACGAGTGGTATGTGAGCTCCATTCTCTAATGGCAGGGAAAGTGGATAGCACAAGAAACTGCTGCTCCTCTTCCAGGCCTTGGCGGTTGCTGTTTCCCCGGCCTGAAGGCTTCCTCCCTTCCCAGGTGGCTCTTGTCCCCACTTCAGAGAAGCCTTCCTGACTGCTCCGTTGACAGCAGTCACCTAATTCAACCTGGCTACTTGCCTGACGCCCAGACCCTGCCCAGTGCCCCTGGGGTGCCCCCTTGCAGGCCAAGCCGCAGCTTCCATCACCAGGCCTTAGCCAAGCTTCCATCCTGTTTCCAGCTCCCTCTGGGAGGACCCTGGCTGGGCGAGCAGGGCCTTAGTAACCTCCCTCCTAGAGGAAGGGACAAGCTGGGGGGCCAGGGCTGCCCCTGGGATCTGAGGAGTGGGGTTGGGCAGAGGCAATCAGGTGTCTTACTGGGCCTGAGAGGGCGACTGCACAGCCTCATTCCTCCGCTACCAACCACTGAGACGGTGCAAAGCTCAGGCCTGGGCTGAGAAGCAACTGCCCAGCAGGCGCTTCCCCCAGAGAGCTCCATTTCTGTGGCCTCCCAGGCATGGCCTCCATACCTGGAACCCTCTCATGGCAGGGAACAGGGCTGCTTTGAGCCTGCTGGGTTAGGGTTTGGATCTCTGCTCTGATCCCAAGGCTCTTCATTGCTAGCTCAGCTCTCTCCAGACATGTGGACTCACATGTGAAATGGGAATTATACTCCAGCTCAATAACTTGTGAGGATAACATAAGAGAAGGTAACAGGAATGTTCATAAAATTCTATAGTAAATTTAAGTATTTTCAAAAAAAATAGAAATCAAGCAAAAATATTTTTCTGGTTACAATAAGAGGATAATTAAAAAAAAAAAATCTCTGCCAGGCGTGGTGGCTCACGCCTGTAATCCCAGCACTTTGGGAGGCCGAGGCAGGTGGATCACGAGGTCAAGAAATCGAGACCATCCTGGCCAACATGGTGAAACCCCGTCTCTACTAAAAATACAAAATTAGCTGGGCGTGGTGGCGTGTGCCTGTAGTCCCAGCTACTCAGGAGGCTGAGGCAGGAGAATCACTTGAACCCAGGAGACGGAACTTGGAGTGAGCCGAGATCATGCCACTGCTTTCCAGCCTGGGCAACAAGAGCAAAACTCTGTCTCAAAAAAAAAAAAAAAAAAACCAAAAAAAAAAAAAAAAGAAAAAAGAAAAAAAAATAAGCCTAGAGCAGAAGAGGACATTAGAACTGAAACTGTGGGCCAGGCGCGGTGGCTCATGCCTGTAATCCCAGGACTCTGGGAGGCCGAGGTGGACGGATCATGAGGTCAGGAGATGGACACCATCCTGGCTAATGTGGTGAAACCCCGTCCTACTAAAAATACAAAAAATTAGCCGGGCGTGGTGAAGGGCGCCTGTAGTCCCAGCTACTCGGGAGGCTGAGGCAGGAGAATGGTGTGAACCCGGGAGGCGGAGCTTGCAGTGAGCCGAGATCGCGCCACTGCACTCTAGCCTGGGCGACAAAGCGAGACTACAACTCAAAAAAAAAAAAAAAAAAAAAAGAACTGAAACTGTGTAAGAACGTGTATATTAAAACCTATAAGGTGCGGGATGCATACACAGTGGTATTCACAGGAAAGTTCATAGCCTAAAAACATCTTTTAGAAAATATAAAAGAAGAAAACTCCTTGCAAGCAGGGCTTTTTTTTTTTTTTTCTTTTCTGTTTTGTTCACTGATATATGCCAAGTGCCTAGAGCCGAGGAGGCGGAAGAAGCTGAGGAGGACAGAATGGGGCAGGCTCTGTGGTCAGGAGAGGAGGAGGAGGCTGCTGGAAACTTTGAGGACTGAAAACTCAGGGCCAGACTAGATAAGGGCCATTGTGGCTGGTGCCAGCTGGATATTACGAACAGAGAACAAGATCGTCCCCCAGACCAACCTAGTGCTTTCTACATAGGGTCACCGCATAATTTCCTGTCTAAACCAGGGACTCTGAGAGTAAAGAGGTGTGTTGTTTGTAACCATGCCAAGACAACAGAAGTAAGCTGGGACTGTACCCCACAAATCAGTTGTGAGGCCACTTTATTCTCACGAAATCCCAGAGAAGGCAGGGGCAGATATGTGTGACGCATGTGTGTGTGAAACCCTGAACTAATGGAGATAACCAGAAAACTGAAATTGAACTCCATCCTGGTGGAATGGGGCACAAAATTCAAATTAAACTTAGTTGTAGGCTTAGTTATGCTGGCTCATGCCCGTAATCTCAGCACATTGGGAGGCCGAGGCAGGAGAATCACTTGAGCCTGGGAGTTTGAGATCATCCTGGGCAACACAGCAAGATCCCATTTCTACAAAAATGAAAAATGAGCTGGGCATGGTGGCACATGCCTGTAGTCCCAGCTACTCAGGAGACTGAGGCAGGAGAATTGCTTCAGTTAGGAGTTTGAGGTTGCAATGAGTTATGATCAAGCCACTGCCCTTGAGCCTGGGCAACAGAGTGAGACTCTTATCTCCGAAAAAAAATAGTTATAGAAAAAAATAAGCAGTTACATTTTATATTCCTGCAGGATACAGGTGGCACCCTCAAAATAGGTAGTTTGAGAAGATGTTAGTAGAAGGTGTGTGAAGGTGAGGACAGGGTGTGAGGAGAACACAGGCAGTACTCTGGTGCTAGTAACAGCAGGGAACCGTTACTGTTTCTAGGCCAGAAGGAGCAATGGGAGAGAGAAGTTTCTGGAACTCTGAGGCTGAAAGGGCTGTGTGGAGTTTGTCTGATAGAAGCTGTGACCTTCGGCTGTGGGACGCAGGAGGCCCTGCAGGAAGGATTTTCTTCTTCTCTCTCCCTCCAGTCTTCTGCTAAACACCTCCCTTGGGCTGAACCCCACTCGAAGTGACAAGAAAAAAGAGCCCTTTCCATGTGACCCATAACCAGCCTCCTGGAATACAGAACAGGATGGAGAAAAGTGGAGGGTGGGTCAGGAAAGGTAGATGGAAGATCTCCAAAACAGCTCACCCCTTCTCTCCTCAGCACCCAGTTCATTCAGGTAAAACTTTATGTCACCAAAGAGGGGTACAGTAATTCCTGATAGCAACAGCAGGGTTGGCGACTTTTTCCAGAAAGTATCGGATAGTAAATACTGAAGTTTTGTGAGCCATATCATCTTTGTTGCAACTCAGCTTGGCTGTGGCCGTGGACAATCCATACGCGAATGAGTGTGGCTGTGTCCCAATAAAACTTTGTTTACAAAAGCAGATGGCAGAGCAAATCGGGTTCATAGTTTGCTAAACCCTGAGCCGTAGTGTCATTGTGGGGTGGGGTTGGCTCCTTGGTTTGGTCCTACTGGAAACCGAAAATGTTAGCCACCACCCATGTTTTTCACATGTGATAGCATGTTTTTAACACGGCATAGGAGAGAAACAACAGGTCAGAACATGGCTGCCCAAGCCTTTGCTTTGCTGGGAGACCTGGGGTGAAAATCTCACTACAAATACCCAGACTCAGGGGCAGTGGCAAACAGCTTGATTGCCTGGGCAGGATCCGGAAAGAATGAGATTGGAAATTTGGGGGCCAGGTGGTCTGGAGGCAAGTCGTGTGGCTGGGGCACTTGTAATGGGCACAGCATGATGATATTGGCAGCTTCCGTGAATACCCACTCAAGGGCATCCACAGTGGAGGAAGTGTCCCAAATGCCTACGTCCCTAGGTCTCCAGACTCAGTGTGCCAGGACATTCCAACATTTCAGCCATGTTCCTTCAAAGCTTCCATCAGCCAACCCGCAGACCGATAGCATCTCTCCCTCCTCTCCAGCCGGCACATCACATCCAGCGGGACCATAGGGTGTGTCCATGTCAATGACTGTGGGCTGACTGAATCTCACATTTCATCCCCTTGGCCAAATGCGTTGGAATCCATCCTCTCTCCTCCATCCACTCCCCATAGTCTCTGGGCTTCTGATGGCACAGCGGCTCCGGAGGGTGCAGGTGTATGCAGGCAGAATCATGGACTCATGGAAAGGCTCCTCCATAGGGGAGGCCAGCTCCCTGGGCTGGAGAACTGCCTCTGTTGTCCAGAGACTCAGGGGGTCTGAGGATTCATGGACTCATGGAAAGGCCCTTCCATAGGGGAGGCCAGCTCCCTGGGCTGGAGAACTGCCTCTGTTGTCCAGAGAGACTCAGGGGGTCTGAGGATTCAGGGAATCATGGAAAGGCTCTTCCATAGGGGAGGCCAGCTCCCTGGGCTGGAGAACTGCCTCTGTTGTCCAGGGAGACTCAGGAAGTCTGAGGATTCAGGGCTCTCAGTCTCATTTGTGCCTATCTGACTTGTCTGTCTCCCAAGTCTCAGGGTCCCACGTCTTTCTTGTGTGTGATGGACCCCGGCCACATTGAGCATTCAATTGTCACTGCAGCTCTGCACCTTTGCAGTTCATCTGCCCTGCTGCTCAGGAGATGAAAGCACTGCCAAGGCTGCCGTGGAGCGTTGCCATCCTCCACCTGCATGTGCACCTGGACGTGCTTAGCTGTCAGTTTCTCCTTATTCCTAGGGACACTAGCACTTCTCAAGCTTTCTGTGGGGAAGGGTCATTTAAAAAAATTTCTATGTAATGCCAGCACTTTGGGAGGCCAAAGCAGGCAGATCACGAGGTCAGGAGATCGAGACCAGCCTGGCTCACACGGTGAAACCCCGTCTCTACTAAAAATACAAAAAATTAGCCGGGCGTGGTGGTGGGCGCCTGTAGTCCCAGCTACTCGGGAGGCTGAGGCAGGAGAATGGCGTGAACCCGGGAGGCGGAGCTTGCTGTGAGCCGAGATCGCCCCACTGCACTCCGGCCTGGGCGACAGAGAGAGACTCCATCTCAAAAAAAAAAAAAAAAAAAGGAAAGAAAAAAGAAAAATGATGCTCTAGAGTAGATACTATTCCCTGGGCCATGGTTGCCATAGCAGCTAGGGTGGCAGCCACTTGCTGTTCCAACGCCTTGGCCTCCTTATCTCTTGCTATTACCAGACATCCTTTGAGTAATCACGATGCCACCGCAGGCCAGATGTCCCAAGTCCCATTTCTTTCTGGCGAGGAGGTGTGAGCTGTGTGTTCCTCAAATACGTGAGCAGCCAGATCCCAGAGACTATTTTGAGGATCTGTTTCCTGGGGCACATTCAAATATGGTAAGTTGAGGAGAGTTTGGTTTGTTTTAAAGCTTTGTCGAGGTATAACTGATATACAAAAATTGCACACATTTGATGTATACATCTTGGTGAGTTTGAAGATATACATATACCTGGGATACCATCACAGCCAAGGTACTAAACATATCCATCACCTCTGAAAATTTCCTTTTGTTCTTTTATTTTTATTTTTGTAAGAACCCAACACGAGAGCCACCCTCCTAACATATTTTATCTATTTATTTATTGAGAGGGAATCTCACTCTGTCACCCAGGCTGGAGTGCAGTGGCGCAGTCCCGGCTCACTGCAACCTCCGCCTCCCAGGTTCAAGCGATTCTCCTGCTTCAGCCTTCTGAGTCGCTGGGACTACAGGCAGGTGCTACCGCACCTGGCTAATTTTTTTGACTAACATATTTTAAAGTGTATAATTCCGAATCATGAACTCTGGGCACTGAGTTCTAGAACTTATCCATCTTGCATAACAGAACTTTGTAAGCCATTGAGAAACAATTCCCCAGTGTCCCCAGCCCCCAGTCACTGGCAACCACCGTTCTTTTCTCTACTTCTATGAGTTTGCCTATTTTAGACACCTGATATAAGTGGAATCTGGCAGTATTTGTCCTTCTGAGTGGCTTATTTCACTTAGCGTAATGCCCTCCGGATTCATCCATGTTCTCAGATATTGCAGAATGTCCTTCTTTGGTGGAGAGTTTAATGAGACACTCTACCAAGGTGTGGGGAGGGTGCAGGAGAGCCCCAAGGAGAGTGCAGCCCTCCAGGGCTGTCCTGCTGGGGTCGGAGAGGAGCCACCTCCCAGGATCTGTGACCCTTAGCAAAGGAACAAGGCCAGCCCAAGGTGACCCTGCGGAGCCACTCCCTCTCAGGAAGGCCTGTTGGTCCCCCCTAGTGTCAGGCTCCTGGGGCAGGGTGTGAACGGCATCCGCAAGGCAAAGCAAAGTCATCTGGCACTGATTTCTTCCACTTCTGAATTCCTGGCTTGGAATTTGGGTCTCCTACAATTTCACGCTGTTTTGATGTAAGGAAGCTTGTGTCTGAACCAGACAGGTATTTACATGGTGCCCCGTGTCACTCCTTTGCGTGGGCCCTGGAGCCCAGCCACAGGAATCCCTCCGAGGCACAGTGCTTTTTTGGCTCTGTGGGTTGAGGAATTCGAGTACGAGTTAGTGCATGTGACTTAAAAACCGTGCATGGCGAAATCAACCTGCAGCTAAACACGGGTGCATTTCACTTTCTCTCTCAACATCTAAAACTACCAACCAAACTGGGCTCATCCTAGGACTGTCTCCACTGTCCAAAGGGAAAGCTCACTCCAATTTCAACCATTTCTTCACAGGGGTCCCCTTTGGGGTCAGCCCTGGGTCCTAGCCTGGCTCCTGCGACTTCCCCCACCCCGACCCCCCAAGTTTCCTGACACAAGGTAGCCGCCTTCTTCCAACCTCCCTAGGGCAGCCAATCCCGCCCCCACCCCATCCCATCCCGTCATGAAAACTCTGTTGCCCACGCCTCAGTCTGAATTTTGCTGGATTTACAGCACCAACACCACCCTGTGTATGCCGGCGTTGCGCAGAGTTACTCTGGCTGGGCCAGCCAGGGCTTGAGGACGTTAGCCTTGAGGGCTGTGCTGTCTAGGTGTGGGCCCTGCAAAGTGGGAGTGATGCTGACCTTAGCGGGTATAGGGACATGGAGTTACATGGCAGGAGAAGCTCTCTCTGACGCCAGTTCGCCATGGGCGCCTCTCTGACACTAGCCCTATTTTATGTTTTTAGACTCAAAGAGGAGGCCACAGACTCAGAGACCTTGGCAGGCAGCAGAACATGTCATTAGAATGGAGTAAGTTTTGTTTTCATTGAATTAATGTTCATGGTTCCCTTCTATTTATGGGAAATGAATCTAGTTTTATATTTAACTTAGTGATGTAATACTGCATTTTAAAATAAGTTTATTTAAATGAAAACAGGGAGACACATTTTTAAAAAATCCAGGTGGTGAGTAAACATAGCAAATGCTGACCATGGCAGGCCTGATGTACTTGGGAGTCAGCTGGGTGGCTGTGTCTTGCAGAGCGCCTCCCATGCTGGTTTCCCCACCTACACCCTCACCCCTTGCAGTGGGTGTTAATTTCCAGTGGCTGCCATAACAAGCTGCTACAAATGGGTGACTCAATGGCAACACCTATTTATCTTTGCACTGTTCTTCAAGCCAGAAGTCCCAAATCAAGGTGTCAGCAAGGGCCTAGGGGAGAATCCTTCTTGTCTCTCCCAGTTTCTGGCAGCTCCAGGTGTTCCTTGACTTGTGGATGCATAACTTACATCATTACCTTGGTGGTCCGTGAGGGTCTCCTCTTCTCCCTGTGTCTCTCCTCTGTGTCTCCTCTAAGGACACATGCTTGCATTTAGGGTCTACCTGGATAATCCAGGATGCTCTCATCTTGAGATTATTAAATTAACTACACCTGCACGGACTCTTTTTTCAAATAAGGTCACGTTCACAGGTTCTGAGATGTAGACACATCTTTTTTTGCGGGGTGAGAGGGTCGTAATTCAACCCACTCCAAGTGTGTTCTCCACATGCAGACTTGGACTCCAGGTGTTGTCCGGCCTCTGCTCGGAGCTGCAAGCTCAGTGCCCCCTCTCCCACTCCCCGGCCACTCTCCTGTTCAGTGTCTTCACTGCAGCTGCACAGAACGGCTGGCCCCTGCGTGTTTCTGCTCCATGCCAGGCCTTTCCCCCCTCGGCCTGGAGCTCTCTGTCCGCCCCCGGGATCCTGCAGTCTGCTCCGTCACTGCTTCAGGTCTTTGCTCCCGTGTTACCTTCTCAGTGAGACTTTCCCCAAGCGCTGAACACTGTACATCCTGCAGCCCCAACCCCGGGTCCTCACCTCCCTCCTTCCCTCGCCCTCGGTGCACGGTGTGTGTTTATGTCTGCCCCCCTCGCTGAAGCCTGAGCACTGTGAGCGTGGGACGTTTTGTCCGTTCTGTCCACTGCTGTAGTCCGAGATTCTAGACCGTGCCGGGCCCACAGTGGGTGCTCAGGAAGCACATGTCGACTGAGGAATGCGTGGGGCTGGGAAGGAAGGTAGAGTCGGGGGTCAGGGGGCAGCTGGCTCCGACCAAGCCCGATGACTCTCGGTGGAGCCTCAAACCCTGGACCTGTGGGGGCGGGTGGGCTGCCAAGTCTGAAAAGGAGAAATTGGTCTGTTTATACATAAAGATACTTCTGAATGGTTTCTCTGCTCTCTCTTTTAGGTAAAACTCCAAGTAACACCAACTGAAACTTACCTTTTTAAATTGCTTTTTTATTGCATATTTTTTAATGGCAGCATGATGTTCCTGTCCTCAGGGTGGTACCTGTGAGCCGGGGAGGTGGCTTGGAGAGCCTTGGAGCCGTCTTGGTGACATGCGGGAAGCTTCCCACCCTGAAAACCGGAAGCCAGTTCTTGCCAAAATTTTGAAGATGAACACAGAGACCAGTTCAAACTTGGAACTTGTAGGCCCTGGAACAGAGAAGGCCCCTGGTCTGAGAACCCCTTGCTTTCTTCCGGTGGAGCCGCTGTCTGGGCCAAGCCCTTCCTTCTCTGGTGGGGAGTCCATGGTCTGGCCCTCGCTCCCTCATTCTTTTCCTGGAGGAAGAAAAGAAACTTTGTTCAGCAGAGTCCCAGCACCTGGTCCTTCCAACTGCAAGCCTGCCTTCCGTGCCCCTGACCTTAAATAAGAAGGCGCCAGGAAAGGTCCACCTCCAGGGCCGGGAACAAGATACCTACCCCAAGAATGTACCGGCGGGGAGGGAGATGGATGGGAGTGGGCTTCCTACAGGGTGAAGCCCGACAGGCTGGCCCGGCCCCTTCCTGCTCATTCTCAGGAACACACCTGACTGCTGCCCCTCCCGTTTATCCAGGACTGAGGGAGCCTCAGGGCCCAGGAGGCTGCAGTCCTCAGACTGTGACCTTGCGTAGGTGACTTTGTTTCTGAGCCACAACCTCTTATCTGTAAAATGGGTTAATGCTACCCCAGGTGGTGGTGACAATTCAGTAAGCCGTGCGTACAAGGCACCTGCCTCGACTGGCCCCCCAAGCAACACCAGAGCCTGACTCCCACTCCATCTCTGCTTATTCCTGTAGACACGAGCTCAGTCTGACAACCAGAACCGTCAGATTTCTTGGGTAATAAGGGAGTCCCAGCAGCTGTTTCTCAGAGCAGTGAGAGGATCCAGCCTCCACCCACCCTGGGCCAGGCCTCCGCATTCCTCCTCGTCTTCAACGGGGCGCTGCTTCCGCAGCCGCCTCTCCACTCCAGCCTTGGTGGGTCACCTCTCCCAGTGCCCCCGTGTTACCATAATGGCCAGAGGAGGGTCCCAGAAAGCCCGGGGGATGCGTCTTCCCCATCAAGACCTCCCGAGGAGCCCTTTCACCTCTCTGAGCCCCCGTGTCCTCCTCTGTGAGGACAGAGCTGTGGCCACGGTGACCCACATGCTCCTTTGCCACTGCTGCCTCCTATCACTTCCCTGCTGAGCCCAGTTCAGGTCCCTTTCTCCTCTGCAAAGATACCACAGCCCCCAAATCTGCACGTCTTCTCAGTTCCCTGCCCAAAGCCTGGGTCTCACAGCCCCTGCCCCTTTGCCTTTCCCAGCTGTTTCCTCGGGGCCAAGACTGGCCTTTCATGCCCCCCACCCCCAGCTCTGTTTGCTTTCCTGGCTGGGTGCAGACGGCAGGAGGCCCCCACTGTCTGCTAATGACTTGCAGACATGGCCTGGAGTACAGCTGAGCAGCTGGACCAGGCTGGGGCGATGGGAGCAGGGCTGGCAGGGCTGGAGGGAGAGACGGGGTCCCTTGGGAGGAAGGAGAAGCTACAGAAAAGGCCATGTGGTCAGGACCCAGCCTGCCATGAGAAAGATGCAGGTGTGCTTGCTGAAGCTGGGGCTTGTGAGCCCCTCCCTGCTGACACTGTCTGGTTCCCTGTAGCCCCCCATGGGCCCTGCCCTGTCCTGCCTGGCAGCTGTGTCTCTGTGGCTTGTCCCTGCATCCCACCTTGTGTCTCACTCCCCCATGGCTTTGCTTAGGCCGTGCCCTCGTAAGAAACACTCTCCTTCACGCTTAGCCGCTCTGTTAAGGCCTACTCTGGGAAATTCTCTATGCCTGAGGTCCTCTGGCCTGCAGGTCCTACCCCTTACTGTGCCTTCCACGGCCTCTTCTGGCCCAGGGCTCCTGCGGGCCAGTTTGGCCCCAGCCTGGGTTCCTCAGCCGGGGTGGGGAGGTGCTTGTGAGTGGAACCCTCACCTCTGCAGTTTGTGAGGTCGGCCTCTTTTGAACCACAGGGGAGAGGACCATTTCCCAAAGGAAAACCAGGAGGACGCTGTCATCACGGAAGGAAGAGCAGAGAGAAAAGTGCTGGGTTCTCGGTGATAATTGTCTGAGCAGCTGGAACAAGCCTCACCTGAAGTCTACCCTGGGCTTTACAGGTACATGATCGAATACATTCCTTTTGCATTTAAGTCAGTGTTATGTGATTTTATGCCACTGCCATCCCAAAGATTCCTGAGGGACTCTTGGCCTCCCAAACCAGGAGCCAAATGTAGGCCATGGCGGGAAGCAGGGTGAGCAGGAAGCTGGATGAAGCAGAAGCTCTCACTGAGAAGTGGAGGGTAGGGCCAGCACTGCTGGGAAACACCTGGCAAGGGAGAAGAAACCTTGGTGAGGGCCAACACCACAACTAGAAGGGGGCAGTATCTCTGTGTAGATGCAGAATGGAATGACCTCCCAACCAAAAGTGTCTGTGTGGCATGTAGGGTTGGGAAAGGAGAGAGCAGCCCCCAGCCACTCAGGCTTCAGCAGAAAGGCGTCTCTGTCTGGTGGTTTTGAACACTGAAAGCAAGACATAGGAAGCTGCAAGAGTGCACGTGGGGCAGTCCCCATTCTGCCAGGGGCCAAGGTTTCTGGGCCCAGCAGCTCTGCCTGCAGATGGCCAAGCCTGCTGTCCTGGCCTCAAGGCTGGACCTACAATCATGGGCAATTGTTCCCCCAATGGGAATGCCAGTCACACCGAAATGAGGCTGGGATTTTCGGGAGGGAGGGGCCCACTGCAGAGCTAGAGGCACTGATCTGGGTTCAGAGGCTGACTGGCCACAACCTGGGCACAGGAGGGTCTTGATTTGAAGACATCTGTGGCCTTTAGGTCCCACGAAAGTTAGGGCTCAGATGTCTGGGGCAACCCCCTGAAGATGACAGGTGTCTTGGACAGCCTGAGGGTGCCCAAAACAGCATGGCTGATGCTGCATGCATCCTCACGAGGGTTATGTGGCTGGATGGCACAGGCCCTGACTTCCCGTGTAACCCTCTTCTTCTCTCCTCAGGTTGGCCCACAGCAGGCGGTACATGCTGGGCAAGTGGCGTGTAGTACGCCAGACTCCACAGAACCATCCTATCCCGTGTGGTGGGGTGAGTTGGCGCCTTTGTTACTTTTTCCAGCTGAAAATTATATTCAGGAAATGACAGAAGCTTAAATAAGACAAGTGCATTTGGATCTCAGGTAAGTGCAGTCTGGGCTTAGGCAGGCCACAGGCAGGGAGGTGGCTCTGTGTCGCCAGGCTCCTTCTACCTTCCTGCTCCACCGTACTCAGAAGGTGGCATCCATCCTCAGGGTCCCAAGGCAGCTGCTGGGTCTCCAGCCATCATGTCCAGTGTCTAGATAGAAAGAGGAAGGAGGCCGGGCGTGGTGGCTCACGCCTGTAATCCATGCACTTTGGGAGGCTGAGGTGGGCTGATCACGAAGTAGGAGATCGAGACCATCCTGACTAACGTGGTGAAACCCTGTCTCTACTAAAATACAAAATATTAGCCTGATGTGGTGGTGCACGCCTGTAGTCCCAGCTACTGGGGAGGCTGAGGCAAGAGGATTGCTTGAACCGGGGAGGCAGAGGTTGCAGTGAGCTGAGATGGCACCACTGCACTCCAGCCTGGCAAGCAAAAATACAAAAGAGCAGGCTTTCTCAAAAGGCCCACACAGACTTCCACGTATAACTAATTGGCCACCTCCATATGCAAGCCAAGCTGTGATCTAACCCCCATACATACTGTCTTTCTAAGGCAATGGCATGTAATTAGAATTTAATACTTTCATTTTGTTTGTATTTTTATGATTGCATTTAATTTATGGCAAGTTATTAGAAAATTAAAGCCAGTAATATACAAAAAAAAAATTACACACACACAAACATCATGACCAAACAGGGCTTGTTCCAAAAATAAGAAGTCACTGGGCCAGGTGGCTCACACCTGTAATCCCAGCACTTTAAGAGGCCAAGGTGGCGGATCGCTTAAGCCCAGGAGTTCGAGACCAGCCTGGGCAACATGGCTAGATCCCCTCTCTACAAAAAAATACAAAAGTTAGTCGGGCGTGGTGGTGCGCGCCTGTAGTCCCAGCTATTCCAGAGGGAGAGGCGGGAGGATTGCTCGAACTGGGAAGTTGAAGCTGCTGTGAGCCAAGATTGTGCTTCTGTACTCCAGCCTGGGCCACAGAGCGAGACCTGGTCTCAAAAAATATATAGGAAAATAAAAAATAGATCGGAAGCGGTGGCTCACGCCTGTAATCCCAGCATTTTGGGAGACCAAGGCGGGTGGATCACCTGAGGTCACGAGTTCGAGATCAGCCTGACCAACATGGTGAAATCCCATCTCTACTAAAAATACAAAAATTAGCCAGGCGTGGTGGCAGGCTCCTGTAATCCCTACTACTACAGAGGCTGAGGCATGAGAATCGCTTGAACCTGGGAGGCAGAGGTTGCAGTGAGCCAAGACCATGCCATTGCATTCCAGCTTGGGCAACAAGAGCGAAACTCTGTCAAAAAAGAAAAGAAAAGAGTGGAGGGGCTGGGCGCAGTGGCTCACACAGGTAATCCCAGCACTTTGGGAGGCCGAGGCAGGCGGACCACAAGGTCAGGAGATGGAGACCATCCTGGCTAACACGGTGAAACCCCTGTCTCTACTAAAAAATATAAAAAATTAGCTGGGCATGGTGGCGGGCGCCTGTAGTCCCAGCTACTCGGGAGAATTGCTTGAACTCGGGGCGGAGGTTGCAGTGAGCCGAGATCGCGCCACTGCACTCGGACCTGGAGACAGAGTGAGACTCTGTCCCCTCCCCCCGCCCCCACAAAAAAGAGTGGAGGGAGGACGGTGGGGGAGAAGAGGTCCAGAAGAAGAAGGTCGGGAAGAAGAGGATGGGGGGAGGGTGGGAAGAGGGAGTGGGGAGAACGCGGTAGGGAAGAAGATGATGGGGAAGAAGAAAGTTGGACCGGGTGAGGGAGTCGGGGGAAAGATGGTGGAGAGATGGGGTGGAGAAGATAGGGGGAAGAAGACGGTGGAGGGAGAAAGAGAGGGGAAGGTGGGGAAGAAGGTGGTGAAGACTACGGGGAGGTGGAAAGATGACCTTGGGAGGACAACGCTGGGGAGACGGAGTGGAGAGAAGGCGGTGGGGAAGGGCAGGTGGGGTGAGGGGCGGGGAGAAGGCTGTGGGGAAGAAGACGGTGGAGATGGGGAGAAGATGGTCGGGGGGGAGAGAAGTTGTTGGGCAGAACAGAGTTGGGAGAAGGGGAAGGACGTGGGAAGGGAAGAAAAAGACGGTGGAGGGAAGAGAAAGAAGAGGCTGAGAAGAGTTTGGGGAGAGGGAGTGGAGAGGGGACATTGTGGGGAGAAGATTCTGGGAGAACATGGTGGGGAAAAGGCGGTGGGGAAAGAGTGGGAGTTAAGGAGAGGAAATAAGAGGGAAGTGGGGAAGAACATGATTGGAAGAAAATGCTTAACAAATTAAGTATAGAGGAAATGTATCTCAACACAAAAAGGTCATATATAACAAACCCTTAGCAAACATTCTCTACAAAAAACTTAAAGCTTTTTTTTTTCTTTCTAAAATCAAGTACAAAAAGAAAAAAAAAAGCGTGCTCACTCTCATCATTTCTTTTCAACCTGGTAGTGGAATTCCCAGCCAGAAAAATTAGGCCAGAAAACTGTTAGAACAGAGGCACAAATTCAGCAAAGCTGCAGGTACAAAATCAACTTAGAAAAATCAGTAGTGTTTCTATATATCAATAAAGTATCTGCAGAAATTTTTAAAAATCTCGTGGAATATCAATAAAAGTTTAAATACTTGGCTGTAAATTTAACCCAAATGGCAAAAGGCATGTATACTAAAAACTATAAAACATCAGTGACTGGCCAGGCGTGGTGGCTCACGCCTGTAATCCCAGCACTTTGGGAGGCCAAGGTGGGCAGAGGTCAGGAGCTCGAGACCAGCCTGACCAACATGGCGAAACTCCATCTCTACTAAAAATACAAAAATTAGCCGGGCGTGGTGGCATGTACCTGTAGTCCCAGCTACTCAGGACGCTGAAGCAGGAGAATCACTGGAACCCGGGAGGTGGAGGTTGCAGTGAGCTGAGATCGCGCCACTGCACTCCAGCCTGGGCAACAGAGCAAGACTCCATCTCAAAAAAACAAAACAAATTTACAGTCAAATTATTTTGGGCAAAGGTGCTAGGAACACACAATGGAAAAAGGACAGTCTCTTAAATAAATGTTGTTGAGCCGGGCGCGGTGGCTCACGCCTGTAATCCCAGCACTTTGGGAGGCCGAGGTGGATGGATCATGAGGTCAGGAGATTGAAACCATCCTGGCTAACACGGTGAAACCCCGTCTCTACTAAAAAATACAAAAAATTAGCCGGGTGTGGTGATGGGCGCCTGTAGTCCCAGCTACTCGGGAGACTGAGGTGGGAGAATTGCTTGAACTCAGAGGGTGGAGGTTGCAGTGAGCTGAGATTGTGCCACTGCACTCCAGCCTGGGTGACAGAGTGAGACTCTGTCTCAAAAAAAAAAAAAAGTACAACTCTTTTGGAAAAGTGTTGCAGTTTCTTGCAAACATATAGCTACTCTGTGGTCCAGCAATCTTACTCTAGGCATTTACCTAACAGAAATGAACCAGGGCGGGGCGTGGTGGCTCACACCTGTAATCCTAGCACTTTGGGAGGCTGAGGAGGGTGGATCACCTGAGTTCAAGAATTCGAGACCAGCCTGGCTAACATGGTGAAACCCCGTCTCTAATAAAAATACAAAATTAGCTGGGCGTGGTGGTGTGCACCTGTAATCCCAGCTACTTGGGAGGCTGAGGCAGGAGAATTGTTTGAACCTGGGAGGCGGAGACAGAGGTTGCAGTGAGCCAGGATTGCTCCACTGCACTCCAGCCTGGGTGACAGAGTGAGACTCGGTCTCCAAAAAAAAAAAAAAAAAGAAACCGTAAGTGCAGATGGGGTGGGTGGTGCAAGAAGGTTCATACAGGATGATTCAATTTATATGAAGTTCAAGAACTGTCAAGACTATTGTATAATGATAGAAATCAGAATAGTAGTTGCCTCTGGGGGAATATGGGTATGGATTGGCTGGTCTGGGGTATAGGAGAGCTTGTTATTTATATTGATTTAGGTTGAAGTTACATGGGTACACTCATAGATTAAAATTCACCACCTGTGGGCCAGGCACGATGGCTCACACCTGTAATCCCAGCACTTTGGTTGGCTGAGGCAGGCGGATCACTTAAGGTCAGGTGACCAGCCTGGCCAATATGGTGAAACCCTGCCTCTACTAAATATACAAGAATTGTCTGGGCGCAGTGGCTCATGCCTGTAATCCCAGCACTTTGGGAGGCTGAGGCAGGAGGATCACAAAGTCAGGAGATCGAGATCATCCTGGCTAACATGGTGAAACCCCGTCTCTACGAAAAATACGAAAATCTAGCTGGGCGTGGTGGGGTGCGCCTGTAGTCCCAGCTACTCGGGAGGCTGAGGCAGGAGAATCACTTGAACCCAGGAGGCGGAAGTTGCAGTGAGCCAAGATAGCGCCACTGCACTTTAGCCTGGGTGGCAGAGTGAGACTCCATCTCAAAAAGACAAGACAAGACAAGAAAAGAAAATTCACCACCTTAAAATGTACTTAAGATTTATTCAGGATCAGATGCAGTGGCTCATGCCTGTAATTCCAGCACTCTGGGAGGCCAATGCAGGCAGATTGCGTGAGCTCAGGAGTTCAAGGCCGGCCTGGGAAACATGCCAAAACCCTGTCTCTACAAAAAATACAAAAAATTAGCCAGACGTGGTGGCGTGCACCTGTAGTCGCAGCTACTTGGGAGGCTGAGGTGGGAGGATGGCCTGAGCCCAGGAGACAGAGGTTGCAGTGAGCCGAGATGCCACTACTGCACTCCAGCCTGGGTAACTAGAGCCAGACCCTGTCTCAACAAATAAAAAAGAAGAAGATTTGTGCATTTTACTGTTTGTAAGCTATATCTCAAAAAAATAAAAAAATAGATGGCCAGGAGCGGTGGCTCATGCCTGTAATCCCAGCACTTTGGGAGGCCGAGGCGGGCGGATCACGAGGTCAGGAGATGGAGACCATCCTGGCTAACATGGTGAAACCCTGTCTCTACTAAAAAATACAAAAAATTAGCCGGGCGTGGTGGCGGGCACCTGTAGTCCCAGCTACTTGGGAGGCTGAGGCAGGAGAATGGCGTGAACCCAGGAGGCAGAGCTTGCAGTGAGCCGAGATGGCACCACTGCACTCCAGGCTGGGCGACAGAGCGAGACTCTGTCTCAAAAAAATAAATAAATAAATAAATAAATAAATAAATAAATAAATAAATAATAAAAAATAGAAATAAATCAAGAGGCCTGGTGCAGTGGCTCACTCTTGTAATCCCAGCACTTTGGGAGGCTGAGGTGGGCGGATCACGAGGCCAGCAGATCGAGACCATCTTGGCTAACACGGTGAAACCCCGTCTCTACTAAAAAATACAAAAAATCAGCCAGGCGTGGTGGCGGGCGCCTGTAGTCCCAGCTACTCAGAGGCTGAGGCAGGAGAATGGCGTGAACCTGGGAGGCGGAGCTTGCAGTGAGCCGAGATCGTGCCACTGCACACTCCAGCCTGTGCGACACAGGGAGACTCCATCTCAAAAAAAAAAAAAAAAGAAAAAAGAAAGAAATCAAGAGCCAGAGAATAGCTAGAATTCCCTATGCTATCTTTGCAGTAAATGTCTTGTTTTTTTAACATGGCCTGGCCTAGTCTCTGACCCTGGCAGACAAAGTAATTCGTTCTTGAGGTGTGAGGACCCGTCAGACTTTCTGCCAGGAACCACAAAGTGGCTGTGCGTGCACCAGAATGGACAGCGCTCGTGCCTGCGTGCTGCCAGCTGCCTGCCTGCCATCTCCTGGGCCTCAGACTCTAGTTCCAGCAGGTTGAAGGAGTCAGGACTCCACTTGGTTTCACATGGCAGAACCCAGGGGAAAGGAGTAGAATTGGGGCTCCCTCCCACTTCCATCAGAAAACTCCAGGGCCCTCTTGCTCCACCCGATCCCTGTGCTGACACCTGTCAGCTGGCCCTTCCCCCACCTGGGCCATGGGGCGCTCTCCAGCACCCTCTCCCCCACTGCTGCCCTGCGTCTAGGTTCACGGCCCTCCCACCCTCTCTCTGAGGCCCCTCTGGCACTCATTCCTTGTGACCCCCTTCCCTGGGCACCATGGGCCCTTCTCTGAGAGGCCCATGAGCAGTAAGGGCGGGATAGGGCTACCAGGGCTGGCCATCCCCACTCGGTCTCTCTGGCTATTTCCTTCTGGGAGCGCCCTCGGGCGGGCTCTCCACAAGTCTGTCCCTATCCCGCAGAGATGCTGAGCTGCAGTGGGGCTGTAGGACAGCTGCTGGGAGGGTCTCTCAGCCTCAGGCCAAAGTGCTTCCCTGACGTTCCTGATTGCAAATTACAAACAGCTCTGACCCCCTTGTCGCAGTTGAAATGGGCGTCCAGAGCGACGGTGCGGGAAGCCGGTGAGTAAGTCAGAGGCTGTCTGAGCCGGGAGGACGGCTGTGCAGCCCAGGAGGGAGGAAACGATGGTTCTGTGTCAGAGCCTCGTAAACAAGCATGACCTCACGCTCGTCCCGCACACACCCCTCTGAGATCAGGCAGACCCCTCCTGTCCCCTGGACCTGCTGCACATGGGCGCTGACGCCACAGGGCCTCGCTCCTGGGGGTGGGCCTGCAGCTTGCGCAAGGAGCACAGGGACATGGGCGGCTCAAGGAGGACATGCCGGCCCTGCCCCGCGAGCCACGGATGAGAAGTACTCGACGTTTGTGTGTGCCAGGCCTAGGCGTAAGTGCTGGGGACACGGAGGGTGGCCCTTGCCTCCGGGATCCCTGGTGGGGACACGGTCGTGAATATTTTAGCACAATACAGAGCAGCCAGCCAGCAGCATAGCAGGGAACGTCCAGGCACAGGGCACTCAGAAGAAAGGGAATTATTCTGCCTGTGGGTCAAGGGAAGCTTCTGGAAGGGGAAAATTTGTCCACTGTGTCTTGAAGGGGCTTGCCAAAGAAAGATAAGGAAAGGGATTCCAGGCTGGGATGCCAAGAAGGGCTGTCTGGGAAAGGCCAAGTTCAAGGGCCAAAGGACTGGGACCCTGGCCACGCTGACCCCTCTGCCCCGAGCTTCTTCTGTTTCTCCTCCCAGAGGGACCCCAGGAGCCACACAGATTCAGTGCAGCTGAGCACTCCACATCCTGGGTCCCCAGTGCTCAAGGGTGACAGGTGAGGCCCCACCTCACCAGCTTTCGGATGGGGACCCCTCCCATCCAGGGAGGTCCCTGAGGCCGTCTGGCTCTAACAGTGAGGAAGCCTCCTTCCTGCCCATCCCTGGCCTGCCTGCCCCCCGTGTGTCATTTCCAAGTGCTCGCCACTCTGGCCACAAACCCCAGGCCAGGAGGCGGCTGCCAACCTCGCTCAGGTTGCCTTGGGGCCTCCATTATCCCCAACCTGGGCATGAAGGAGAAAGGTGAGGACCCAGCAGCATGGCCCCACTCAGGGCCTCTGCAGTCACCCCCTCCCAACCTCCATCCATCCTGCACATGTCCACAGCTGGATGGTGGGAGGGTGACTTCCCTTGTGCAGGATCAGGGCACGGTTGGAACTTGGTGGAGCCTTGACTGGAGCTGGGGAGGCTTCGGTGCGACCTGGCTCTTCTGACTCCCGTGGGAGAGTCACCGTGGTGGCCTGTGCTGGAGAATCAGTAGCCGCTGGGGCTGTGGCCAACTGGGAAGGGAGGTGACTATCTGCAGGGGTGGCTGCTGCCCAGCACCACCCGCCTGTGGCTTCGTGGAACTACAAGTCACATGTGGCCAGACCACAGAGCCGGCCCCACCCCATCTTTAAAGAGAGGCTGGAAATTCAGATATTAGGTAAATGCCTTCTGATGTTAACATGTAGCAACCAGTTCAAAATGTGAAAATGCTCCATGAGGGCCAGTTAACACAAGTCTGTGGGTTGGCATGGCCTCCAGTGGCCATCTGCATCCTCTGCTTTTCACTGAAACATTGCCCCAGTTTACAAATGAGGCTACTGAGGCCCAGAGACCCACGGTGACCGCCCACGGGAGGCAGAGCCAGGTGTAGACATCCTCCACCCCCTCTGCCTGAGTCGAGCTGCCCCTGTGAGGGCTGGATGGTGGCCACCAACCTGGCTGCTCAGTGAACTGCCACCCCTTCTGGGTGAGCCATGCAGAGGACCTCATTGGAGTCCTGCCCCCAATAAACACCTGGGGACATGCTTCCAAAGCCCAGGCCGGGCCTTAGAATAGTTTGCAGGCGCTGGGAACTGATTCCCCTCTTGGGCACAGGAGAACAGACCAATGGGGGCCCCGGGTGCCCCAGGCCCATACACCCTGCATGCACAGGCTGAGCCCTTCAAGGTGCTCTTCCCCTTACCAAACCCCCAGCCTCCCTTCCTTGTGGACCCCATCAGAGCTGACATGCCAACAAGCCAGGACCCACAGCCTGGACCTGTCTTAAGGAGGCTGCCAGGATCACCTCTCCAGGCCCTGTCTGCTGTTCCCGACATAGTGAGGAGGGGCTCTGGGGGGCTGGAAGGCCAGGGTGCCCCAAGTTGAGCTGGGGCAGTCCCCTTGGAGTGAAGGTGCGCATCTTGCCACTTCACCGGAGCGTAAGAGATGTTCTGGTGAGCAATTTCACCTCCTCACTCCCTTCTCCTTATTACATCATCATCACCATAATCCTGATCGCTCATCTGCACGCGTGACTCACACGCAGTGTTCCATGCACTGCACTAGGCACCTCCGCTGCACCCTCCCTTCCTTCCTTCTTTCTTTTCTTTTCGACGGAGTCTTGCTCTGTCACCCAGGCTGGAGTGCAGTGGCGCCATCTCGGCTCACTGCAACCTCCGCCTCCCGGGTTCAAGTGATTCTCCTCCCTCAGCCTCCTGAGTAACTGGGACTACAGACGCCCACCACCATGCCTAGTTAATTTTTGTATTTTTAGTAGAGACGGGGTTTCCCCATGTTGACCTCAGGTGATCTGCCCGCCTCGGCCTCCCAAAGTGCTGGGATTACAGGCGTGAGCCACCCACTCCCGGCCTCACTGAACTATCTCATGCATTCCAATAACAGTCCTCTGAGCTAAGTCTTATTATTTTTATTTTTGTTTACAGATGGGCTGGAATTGCTCATGGCAACACTGGGATTCAGAGCAGCACCAACACTAGGAACAGTGTTATCTGTCCTCCGAGTCCGTGCTCTTAACTGTTATGTGCCCTCCCCTCATGGCCTTAGGTTCAAGTCGCACCTGTCACTTTTTTTTTTTTTTTTTTTTTTAGACGGAGTCTCACTCTGTCACCCAGGCTGGAGTGCAGTGGCGTGATCTCGGCTCACTGCAAGCTCTGCCTCCCGGGTTCACGCCATTCTCCTGCCTCAGCCTCCGGAGTAGCTGGGACTACAGGTGTCCGCCACCACACCCAGCTAATTTTTTGTATTTTTTTTTTAGTAGAGACGGGGTTTCACCGTGTTAGCCAGGATGGTGTCGATCTCCTGACACCGTGGTCCGCCCGCCTTGGCCTCCCAGCACCCGGGCATACCTCTTAACTGTCGCTTTGACTTTGTATCCTTTGTGTCATAAAGGTTAGCCGTGAATATAGCCTGCTACTGAATCATGTGAGCTCTTCTAGCGAAACATCAAACTCGAGGGTGATCTTGAGACCCCCAAAACAGAGGCTTGTGGAGGCATTTATAAAGCATCTGCCAGCTGGGTACAGTGGCTCATGCCTGAAATCCCAGCACTTTGGGAGGCTAAGGCAGGCGGATTGCCTGAGTCCAGGAGTTTGAGACCAGCCTGGCCAACACGGCAAAACTCCGTCTCTAAAAAAAAAAAGAAAAAAGGAAAGAAAAAGGCCAGGAGCGGTGGCTCATGCCTGTAATCCCAACACTTTGGGAGGCCGAGGCGAGTGGATCATGAGGTCAGGAGTTTGAGACCAGCCTGGCCAACATGGTGAAACCTCATCTCTACTAAAAATACAAAAATTAGCCAGGGGTGATGGTGCATGCCAGTAATCCCAGCTACTTGGGAGGCTGAAAGAGGAGAATCACTGGAAATGGAGTCGGACCCTGGGAGGTGGAGGTTACATTGAGCCAAGATGGTGCCATTGCACTCCAGCCTGGGCAAAAAGAGCGAGACTCTGTCAAAAAGAAAGAAAAGAAAAGAGGCTGGGTGTGGTGGCTCATGCTTGTAATCCCAACACTTTGGGAGTCTGAGGCGGGTGGATCATGAGGTCAGGAGTTCGAGACCAGCCTGGCCAAGATGGTGAAACCCCGTCTCTACTAAAAATACAAAAATTTGCTGCACGTGGTGGCAGGTGCCTGTAATCCCCACTACTCCGGAGAATCGGTTTAACCCAGGAGCCGGAGGTTGCAGCGAGCTGAGATTGTGCCACTGCACTCCAGCCTGGGCAACAAGAGCGAGACTCCATCTAAAAAAAAAAAGAAAAGAAGCAAAGCAGGGCAGGGCAGAGCAAGGTGAGGCATAAAAAAAGAAAAAAGAAAAAAGAAAAAGAAAGAGAATAAAGCATCTGCCCATGGCAGGCACGGGGGGTGGCCTCAGCCATGGTGTCCAGAATGACCTGTGGGGCTTCAGCCTGTTCCTGCTTTCCCCATGGGTCCTGTCCTCTCTTCTGAGCAGGGATGGGTTTTGACCTCCACCCTCAGTTCTGCCCTTTGCTTCCCTGAGTTTAGCATTCTTTCCCCATGGCTTCTTCAGAGCTGACCCCCCACCAGAACATCCCTGATCAGGGCTGGGCCCTGTCCCTCACCGGGGACACAGAGTAAAGAGGCTGACCTTGACCCAACAGGTGAGGTCGGTCAATTCCTCAGTCCAGCCTACCCTGAGAGTGAGCAGGTGTGCTCCTCAGACAGGGGCGCATACCCGGAAGGCTGCCAGGTCCGACTGGGAACTCCTCCCTTTGCATGTGCTGAGGTCAGGCCTTCAGAAGCTGCCCCTCTGGTCAATGCTAAGACAGTGCTTCCCCATCCCAGGAGGTCCGTGTATCTAGGCTAGTCCTAGGGGGCCTGAGTGCTGGAGATGGAGTCGGACCCTGGGACGAGGCAGCCTGAAGCCTTGGGAAGAAAGGAAGAAGTGTGGGTCAGACTGTAAAAGTCATTGAATAAAGAATGTATGAACACATGTTGCCCCAGCGCCCCCAGCGGAGGACCACCAGGACCATTCCCTCATTTAAGCTTGGGCTGCCACTGGGGAGTGCACACAGACGGGAAGGACTGAGTTGGGAGAGGCCTCTAGGATGTGGGCTCATGCTGGGTGAGCCGAAGGAGGGTTTCCAGGAATGTAAGTGGGTTCTGAATTGGGCGCCATCCGGAAGCAGGGGAAGTTTGATGATTCTTCATAACATTTACCTAGGAGATGGGAAGAACAAGAAAGATTAATGTTGTTATTGGGTTAAGAAGCAATCGTGGGCTGGGCGAGGTGGCTCATGCCTGTAATCCCAGCACTTTGGGAGGCCGAGGCGGGTGAATCACTTGAGGTCAGGAGTTCGAGACCAGCCTGGCCAACATGGTGAAACTCCGTCTCTACTAAAAATACAAAAATTAGCCAGGATTGATGGTACACACCTGAAATCCCAGCTACTCAGGAGGCTGAGGCAGGAAAATCACTTGAGCCCAGGAGGTGGAGGTTGCAGTGAGCCGAGATTGCGGCATTGCACTCCAGCCTGGGCAACAGAGGGAGACTCTGTCTCAGAAAAAAAAGAAGAAGAAGAAAAAAAAAAGGCCGGGCACAGTGGCTCACGCCTGTATTCCCAGCACTTTGGGAGGCCTTGGCCAAGGCAGGCGGATCACAAGGTCAGGAGTTCGAGACCAGCCTGGCCAATATGGCGAACCCCCGTCTCTACTAATTATACAAAAATTAGCCAGGCATGGTGGCGGGTGCCTGTAATCCTGTAATCCCAGCTACTCGGGAGGCTGAGGCAGAAGAATCGCTTGAACTGGGAGGCAGAAATTGCAGTGAGCCGAGATTGCAACACTGCAGTCCAGCCTGGGCGACACAGTAAGACTCTGTCTAAAAAAACAAAACAAAACAAAACAAAAAAACAGCAATTGTGTCCCAGGGGAGTCAGAGAGGGACCCTTTGGAGTTGATGTGGTTGTGTGCTTGCCTTGCCCACGTATTGTGATATTCTGCAAAAGCAGTTCATATTCATTTGGAAACATTATGGCCCCTGTGGCAGCTTCCAGCTGCCAGTCCGTTTTTCACTTTCTCAGTGTGTAATCCAAGTAGCTCCATGTTTTCCTGTTCTCTGGGGTCAGCTTCTCCCCCTTCTTTTCATTTCCAAGTGAAAAATTCCAGAATGGTCCCCAATAGCATATTTGTAAGTATTCCTGGGAAGCATGGACACATTTTGCAACCTCGATGGTCCCCAGCGAGTCATGCCTCCCAACATTCACACCCTCGTGTAGTCCTCTCCTCTAGAATATGCGCTGAGCCTGTGTCGCTTGCTTTAACGGACAGAATGAGTCAGAAGTGACACAGGGCCAGTTCCAGTCCTAAGCCTTGAGAAGGCCTGGCAGTTTCCACTTTTGCACCCTCGAGAGCTGTCATGTCAGAAATAAGATGTAAGAAGTCCGGCTCTCTGCTGGAAAGATGACCCAGAAAGGCCACTTGGAGAGGGAAACGTCCTGAGACTATGAGGAGGAGAACCAAAGAACTCAACTAACAGTGGGAGCCGAGGCTTCCCAAGTACGACTGCGGCTGAGCCACCCCTGGCAATCGGAGCAATCTTAGCCAAAGTACCAAACAGATGAAGACACCACCCTGGGCATGCCAGCCTCAGCAGACATCACATGGAGCAGAGATGAGCCATCCCGCTGGGCTCCGTCTGGACTTTGGACTGTCTCAGTCTTCACTGTCCTTTGATGGAGGTTTGGCAGCAGTGTTTTGCTGTATCTTAACATTCTCTTAACTCTATCATAAGAAATGGTGGAAATGCAATACGATGCAGCTGGCATTTGGCCTCTGCACAATAAGGAGCAGTGTTTTTTTGTTTTGTTTTGTTTTGTTTTGTTTTTGATTTTTTTGTTTTTTGAGATGGAGTCTTGTTCTGTCGCCCAGGCTGGAGTTCAGTGGCGCCATCTCAGCTCACTGCAACCTCCACCTCCCAGGTCCAAGCAATTCTCCTGCCTCAGCCTCCTGAGTAGCTGGGATTACAGGTATCTGCCACCATGCCCAGCTAATTTTTGTATTTTTAGTAGAGAGAGGGTTGACTACGTTGGCCAGGCTGGTCTCGAACTCCTGACCTCAGGTAATGCACCTGCCTCGGCCTCCCAGAGTGCTGGGATTACAAGCTTGAGCCACTGCGCCCGGCCCGGAGCACTGTGTTTTACGACAAACAGAGAGTGCCTGCCCGAATTCAGCACAGCACGACCAACCTCCACTGGCAGCTGCCCCACAGGAATGAGGATTACAGCTGCCCAGCTTCCAGCTTGTCAAGGGAGGCCAGCAATCTCAGTGTGCATGTGATTCTCCCGAGTTCTAAATGCCGGTGCAAAATGTTTTGAAACAGTGTGTAGGCCATCCCATGTCCAAGGAGGGGAAACACAGCAAGCCTACGTGCAGGTTGATTGTGGCTTGTGATTGATCACTTTGTCCCCTCTCATCTAGAGCACATGTTCTCAACACATAATATTTAAAAGTATTTTCATTTCAGAAAAACACACACAAGCTTTTCATACTCCCTGAGGTCTTCTTAGCTGTCTGCTGCTGTGTCACAGATGATCCCAAGGCCTGGTGGCTCGACTGGGGAGGGATCTACTTCCAAGCTCGCTCACATGGTCGTTGGCAACACTTACAGGCCGTCACACTGAGAAGCTCAGTTCCTTGCTGGTTGTTGGCCACAGGCCACGCTCAGTTTCTCGGCCCACTGGCCTCTCTGTAGGGTAGCTCACAGCACGGCTGCTGGCTCCATCCAAGCGAGCTGGCAACGGTGGGTAAGAGAGGGAGCCTGCCAGGGAGGTGCAGCCGCTGCTTCACAGCCTCATCTCAGAAGCAGCACCCGTGGCTGTTTGCCTTGCTCTGTTTTTGTGTTTTCTTTTGTTGTCGTTGTTGTTGTTTTTAATTTTGAGACGGAGTCTCGCTCTGCCGCCCAGGCTGGAGTGCAGGGGTGCGATCTCGGCTCACTGCAAGCTCGGCCTCCCGGGTTCACGCCATTCTCCCGCTTCAGCCTCCCGAGTAGCTGGGACTACAGGCGCCCGCCAGCACGCCCAGCTGATTTTCTTTTTGTATTTTTAGTGGAGACGGGGTTTCACCGTGTTAGCCGGGATGGTCTCGATCTCCTGACCTCGTGGCCCGCCCGCCTCGGCCTCCCAAAGTGCTGGGATGACAGGCGTGAGCCCCCGCGCCAGGCCGAATTTCCTTCATGTTTAAGGCTGAATGATACTCGATCGTGGCTCTGTGCCACCTTTGTTTATTCGTTCACCTGTGGACAGACACGTGGGCTGCTTCCACCTTTTGGCTATTGTGAAGAACGCTGCTGTGAATGCGGGCTTACACGTATCTCTTTTGGATCCTGCTTTTAATGCTTTTGGTATATTCCCAGAAGTGGCGTTTCTGAATCATATGGTGATTCTATTTTTAGTTTTTTGAGGAATCAAAACCACACGGTGGCTGCACCACTGCACCTTCCACCAACAGTGCCCATGGTTCCGGTTGCCCTATGTCCTCACCAGCTCTCGGTATTTGCTTTGCTATGGCTGGTGCCACCCTAGTGGATATGAGGTGGTGTCTTATTGTGGTTTTGATTTGCATTTTGATATGGTTCGAATGCTTTGTCCTCTCCAAATCTCATGTTGAAATGTGACCTCCAGTGTTGGAGAAGGGGTCTAGGGAGAGGTGTTTGGATCATGGGGACGGATCCCTCATGGATGGCATGGTGCTGTCCTCAAGGTAATGAGTGAGCTCTCACTCCGTGAGTTCATACGAGATCTGGTTGTTTAAAAGAGCCCAGGTGCAGTGGCTCACGCCTGTAATCCCCGCAGTTTGTGAGGCCGAGGTGGGTGGATCACCTGAGGTCAGGAGTTTGAGACCAGCCTGGTCAACATGGTGAAACCCCATCTCTACTGAAAATAAAAAAAAATAATAAAAAAAAATTAGCTGGGCGTGGTGGCAGGCACCTGTAATCCCAGCTACTTGGGAAGCTGAGGCAGGAGAATGAATCACTTGAACTTGGGAGGTGGACGTTGCAGTGAACCAGGATTGTGCCACTGCACTCCAGCCTGGGCAAAAAGAGTGGAACTTCACCTCAATAAGATACAATAAAATAAAGAGCCTGGCATTGCCTCCCTCTCACTCTCGCTTCCTCTCTCGCATGTGACACACTGTTGCCTTACTTTTCCACCAGAATTGTAAGCTTCCTGAGGCCTCACCAGCGGCAGATGCCACTGCCATGCTTCCTGTACAGCCTGCAGAACTGTGAGGCACATGAACTTCTTTTCTTTCTAAATTACCCGGCGTCAGTGACTTCTTGACGGAAATGCAAAATAGACTAACACACGTTCCCCAGTGAGTAGTGATGCTGACGAGCGTCTTGTCATGTGGTTGTTCACCACCTGCATATCTTCTTTGGAAAAATGTCCTTTGCTCATTGTTTTTTTTTCTTGTCGCCCAGGCTGGAGTGCAGTGGCACAATCTCGGCTCACTGCAACCGCCGCCTCCCGAGTTCAAGCGATTCTCCTGCCTCAGCCTCCCGCGTAGCTGGGATTACAGGCATCCGCCACCACTCCCGGCTAATTTTTGTATTTTTGGTAGAGACGGGGGTTTCACCATATTGGCCAGGCTGGTCTCGAACTCCTGACCTCAGGTGATCCGCTTGCCACGGCCTCCCAAAGTGTAAAACAAAAACCGCGCCCGGCCTGTGCATGAGTTTTATCATTGGCTTCTGTAAGCTGTGAAAATACATATTCCTTTAAGGGTCTCGAGCACATTATGGCAAGTCTTGGATGTGTCCAGAGTCTGTGTTATGAAAACAATTCTTGAATATTCTCACTAAATTAGATTTTGATGGATACTGGCGTCTGGACGTTACTTGGGAATAATTTAAATAAAGCCAAAGTTGCTCTGGGCCGTTTTGCCAGCCTGACCCTGCAGAGGTGCTCACTGTGTGTCTGCTGGCCCTGGTGGGGCTAAGGGGGAGGCCGGAAGTGTCACCTGGGGACTAGTGGTCAGTGTTATTTCTGCTCACCCAGCAGCCATTCCCCTCTCTGGGAAAGGCGCCCTGATTTTCCCGCAGGGGAGCAGCCTTCCCCCACAGGCAGCTCATGCAGTCTCATGGGGCTGAGCCACGCTCTGACTTCAGGGGTGAGCATGAAGCCCAGGCCTGGTCAATAAGAGCAAGGACCTCCTGGTCTCAGTGATCAGCTCAGGGAGCGCCACGCGGCCTACAGCAAGATACAACACGAGGGGTTTCCTAAGCCACATGACTCTCCCCCTGAGCCAGCTCTGGCCCATGGAATATGAGCAGAAGTGACTCATGCCGCTTTCCGGCCTGCAGCTCGCGATATCTCCCAGGTGTGACATTGTCTCCTTTGCCTTTCTGGGATAACCTTGAGACCTGGCACTGAAGATGTTAGGGTCACAAAATGGGAGGAGCCCAGACATGTTAGTGACTACTTGGAGGGCTCCCATCCCCCCGACATCGGACTATGACGTGAGCGGTAACATTTTATAATGTTAAGTCACTGAACTCTCAGGATTTATGTGTTGCCATAGCAAAGTCTAGCCCACGCTGACAAATATACGACCCAAACCCAAGCCAGACTAATTAGAGTGGGGCCCTAAGGACTTGGGTTTGGAAAGCGTCTCTCTTTTCCCTGAAGTTGCTAAGCCATTAGGATATAAACCTGGAGTGCCAGGGGCCGGTCATTTACTGTACATGTATTTCATTTATGATATGAGAATTTACTGAACCCTTTCTATGCTCCTGGCAGTGGCCTGGACTCACAGGTCACAGCTTCCAAGTGGGGAGGAGCCAGTCTGAGGATGAGGCTAACACAGAAGAAAGCCAAATCGAGAAGCAGAGCCTGGCTTTAGACCCCTGGATCCAACCACACCTGGAACCATCTGCATTCTTTCTTGTAAACCGTTTTGAGACTTGCATGCAACAAGTCAAATCTAATTCAAGGATAAAAACCGTATCAAAAGCAAGGTCATAGGCCTTGTGTCATCCAGAGGGACTGGTTAGAGGCAGGATGTAGATACTGGCTCAGACAGAACCTTCCAGAACAGAGCAAGTGAATGCAATGGTGTACAGGACTAGGCATGCCCTGCCTCACCGGGATTCAGCTGCAATGGTGCCTGTACCTTTACCAAGGGCAGGGGAGGGCAGGGGAGGGAAGCGCAGCCCTGGCACCCAACCTAGCACCGAGGTTTGACCTGATACCCAGGCTCGTCTGTGGGCACTCAGAGGCCAACCCTGTGTTCTGACTGCTCAGGTCGGCTCCACGAGCACCAACCGCACACCTGACCCCAGGCTTTGCAGGCACGACAAAAAACAAGTCAAAATTAGGAGACAAATGCAAGTCAATTCAGTTGTGTTCAGCGCATGTTTATGGAGCTTCCACTGTGTTCCATTTTCAGTCCTCCTTTGGAAAACCATCTCCAACACTTTTTACATGTCAAAAACTTTTTTCTCCCTCCCTGCATTCCTCCCTCTCTTCCTTCCTTCCTTCTTGCTGCTCAACAGTAGCTGAATATAACGTCAGCAATGCCTGTGCCGGGCAGTGATCATGGAAAGATCAGTGGGACCTAGGGCATCAGATTCACAGAGAGTGTGCTATCATTCAGCTGTTTACAAAATATGTATATACAGGGTCTCACTCTGTTGCCCAGGCTGGAGTCCAGTGGCACAATAATGGCTCACTACAGCCTGGAACTCCTGGGCTCAGGTGATTCTCCTGCTTTAACCTCCCAAAAGTAGCCGGCACCACAGGCGTGCACCACCACTCCTGGCTAATTTTTATATTTTTTGTAGATATGGGGTTTGGCCATGTTGCCCAGGCTGGTCTCAAACTCCTGGGCTCAAGCAATCCTCCCACCTCGGCCTCCCAAAGTGCTGACATTATAGGTGTGAGCTATGGTACCCTGCCTTACAAAATATTTTTAGCTCTTCATCCTCTGAGCACATGATAGGCTCACACTTCCCAGCCGCCGTGTTTGGGTGGGGTTGGACGACTAATGAGTCAGACAAATGAGCTGAAGCATTTAATTGCTTATGCAAGATCTGCCAAAGCTCTCGGTTTCCCCCTGCCATGATGACGATTGAAATGACTGTTGAAATGGTGGCTGCTTTTTTAGCCTGAGTCCTGGAGAAATGAGACATGGAGCAGGAGCCATGGATAACCTATCGTAAACATGTGACATGAGGAAGAAGTCAAGCTTTGCTGCTATACCTCATTAAGAGTTGAGGGTTCTCTGTTATTGAAGCATGGCTTCGCTTATCCTGACTGATGCACAAATTTGCCAAAGGATGTAACACTGAGTAACACGCACAACAGAGAGGCTTCCACAGCACAGCTACGCAGGTCTCCCAAGAGTCTCTGCTCAAAGGACACTGTGCTCCTCCTTGGTTGAGGTCTTGGTTCCTGCTAAGGCCCCTGTCTTTACACTTCTGCCCTCCCACCTCAGATGGAAACGACTTTTCATCAGTCTGTCTGCGGTCTGACTTCTGGACCGAGCTGGCCTGGACAGGATGCCCTACCAGCGATCCTGCCTCTGAAGCTATATTAGCTTCCTGTTGTTGCTTTCACAAACTGCCACAAACTTAGTGGCTTAAAACAACAGACATTTGTTCTCTCAATTCTGAAGTCCACAAGTCCAAAACCAATGAGCTTCAGCAAGGTGCCTCAAGGTTCTAGAGAATAATCCGTTCTTTGCCTCTTCTTTTTTTTCTTTTTTTTTGAGATGGAGTCTCACTCTGTTGCCCAGGCTGGAGTACAGTGGCACAATCTCAGCTTACTGCAACCTCCATCTCCTGGGTTCACGTGATTCTCCTGCCTCAGCCTCCTGAGTAGCTGGGAATACAGACACGTGCCACCATGTTCGCCTAATTTTTGTATTTTTAGTAGAGACGGGGTTTCACCATGTCGGCCAGGCTGATCTTGAACTTCAGACCCACCTCGGCTTCCCAGAGTGTTGGGATTACAGGCGTGAGCCACCACATCTGGCCCATTCTTTGCCTCTTCTAACTTTTGGTGGCTGTGGTTTCCTTGGCTTGTGGTCACACCACTCCAGTATCTGCCTGGGTCTTCACTCCCCCTTCTCCTCCACGTGTGTATTCCCTTATATGTGTCTTATAAGGATGCTTATTATTGGATTTAGGGCCGACCTGGACAATCCAGGATGACCTCCTCATTTCATGATCCTTAACTTAATTACATCTGCAAAGACCCTTTTTTTATTTTTTTATTTTTATTTTTTGAGATGGAGTTTCGCACTTGTCACCCAGGCAGGAGTGCAGTGATACGATCTCAGCTCACTGCAAACCCTGCGTCTGGGGTTCAAGCGATTCTCCTGCCTCAGCCTCCCGCATAGCTGGGATTACAAGTGCCCGCCACCACGCCCGGCTAATTTCTGTATTTTTAGTAGAGATGGGGCTTCTCCACATTGGCAAGGCTTGTCTTGAACTCTTGACCTCAAGTGATCCGCCTGCCTCGGCCTCCCAGAGCGTTGGGATTACAGGCGTGAGCCACCATGCCCGGCCTGCAAAGACCCTTTTTCTAAATAAGAACATTCACAGGTCTCAGGGATTAGGACATGGACATATCTTTTTGGAAGCTACCACTCAGCCAATATATGTGTCCCCAGGGCCAACAAATGACGTGGGGGTATGGAACCCTTTGTCAGAGCCCATGGCAATGACTAAGGTATTCAATTTTCCTATTTCTATGTTAATGGAATATTTAGGCAATATAAAATGAAAAGTAAAATAAAGCCTCAAGTCCCCATTGCTTTGTTGAGTAGGGACCAGTGTCTGTGCTGGTTCTCTTCCTTCTGCCTGAGCTGATAAGATGTCCAAGGCTGGGATGGGAATGTTCACACCATTTGGGTGCTGGCTTTTCCCTCTAAGAGTAATTCATGGGAACTCTCCATCTGTCCAAATGTCTGCAACTTAGGTCTTAGAAATTTTTCTGACCACTGAATGTGGGTTCACCACTCCTAAGTGTTATTTTATGAGTGTTTAATGATTTCTTCAGATATTTCTTCTTGGTTTGGATCCATTGCTCGTGAGCTGGTGTGATCTTTTAGGGGTGTTAAAGAAACTTGCTTTGTCATATTACCAGAATTACATTTCTTTTTTTTTTTTTTTTTTTTTTGGAGACGGAGTCCCGCTCTGTCCCCCAGGATGCCACGCCCGGCTAATTTTTTTTAAAATATTTTTTAGTAGAGACGGGGTTTCACTGTGTTAGCCAGGATGGTCTCGATCTCCTGACCTCGTGATCCACCTGCCTCGGCCTCCCAAAGTGCTGGGATTACAGGCGCGAGCCACTGCGCCCGGCCCAGAATTACATTTCTAACTCCTTCTCATTTGGGTAGACGATGTCAGAGGGAAGATCTGGGGCTCAAGGGCTGCTGTTCGGATTCTTTTGTCCCATGGGGTGCTCCCTTGATGTAGTGCTCTCCCCCTTCCCTTAGGGAAGGCATATACTAAAAGGCAAAAAATGGTTTGAAGAGATAGACCAAGTGTCAGACCCACACTCAGAGGTGGCAGGGATGTTGAAATGATGACTGTGAATTTTAAACAATTATGATTAAATGCTAAGAGCTCTTGGCCAGGAACAGTGGCTCACACCTGTAATCCCAGCACTTTGGGAGGCCAAGATGGGGGGTGGATCACCTGAGGTCAGGAGTTTGAGACAAGCCTGACCAACATGGCAAAACCCTGTCTCTACTAAACATGCAAAACATTTAGCTAGGTGTGGTGGCGCACGCCTGTAATCCGAGCTACTCAGGAGGCTGGGGCACGAGAATCGCTTGAACCCGGGAGGCAGAGGTTGCAGTGAGCCGAGATCGTGCCACTGCACTCCAGCCTGGGTGACAGGGCAAAATTCTGTCTCAAAAAAAAAAAAAAAATTGCTGAGAACTCTAATGGGAAAAGTAGACTGCACGCAAGAAGAGATGGGCAATGTAAACAGAAAGATGGAAATTCTAATGAAGAATAAAAGGAACGTTAGAGATGGAAACTACTGTAAAGGGAATGAGGAACGCCTTTGGTGGGACCATTAGTAGATTACACATAATGAGGGAAAAAAATATCTGAGCTTGTAGATACGTCAATCAAAACTTCCCAAACATAAATGCAAGGAGAAAAGAGAACACACGCACACACACACAAAATGGGGCCAGGTGCGGTGGCTCATGCCTGTAATCCCAGCACTTTGGGAGGCTGAGGCAGGTGGATCACAAGGTCAAGAGATCGAGACCATCCTGGCCAACATAGTGAAACCCCATTTCTACCAAAAATACAAAAATTAGCCGGGCGTGGTGGTGCACGCCTGTAGTCCCAGCTACTCAGGATGCTGAGGCAGGAGAATCACTTGAACCCAGGAGGTGGAGGTTGCAGTGAGCCGAGATTGCGCCACTGCATTCCAGCCTGGGCAACAGAGCGAGACTCCGAGACTTGTCTAAAAAAAAAAAAAAAAAAGGAACATAATATCCAAGAACTGTGAAATAACTACAAAAGTTGTAACATATGCATAAAGGGAACACCAGAAAGGGAAGAAATAAAGAAACAAAAGAAATATTTGAAGCAATCATAACTGAGCATTTTCCCCCATTAATGTCAGGCACCAAACCACAGGCAAGGAAACTCAGGGAACAGCAATCGGGATAAATCCCTCCAAAACCAAAAAGATGACCCCTCAGCATATCATATTCAAACTGCAGAAATCAAAGATAACAACACAATCTTGAAAGAAACCAGAGGGGGAAAACATCTTATCTACCCAAGAAGCAAAGATAAGAATTACATCTGACTTCTCAGAAACCATGAAAGCAAAAAGGGTGAAGTGAAATATTTTAAGTGTTAAGGGAAAAAAACCCACCAACTTACAATTCCCCAACTTATAATTCCATATTCTGTGAAACCATCAAAAGTAAAGGAGAAAGACTTTCTCAGACAAACACAAATTGACAGTTTGGCAACAGTAGACCTACCTTGCAAGAAATGTTAAAGAAGTTTTTCAGAGAGAAGATAAAATCAGATCTACATAAAAAGGGAAGGGTAATATAGAAGAAATAAGTGAGGGTAAAAGAAACACTTTTATTTTTCTTATTCTTAATTGATCTAACAGATAACTGTTCAGATAATCCCAGCAACAATGTATTCAACGATTATAGCATATGTATAAATGAAAAATTACAGCAATGATACAAGACTCAGGAGGGAGGAATTAGGAATATTTTGTTATTATAAGGTACTTGCACTACCTGTGAAATGGTATAGAGTTATTCTGAAAGTGAATTTGGACGAGTTGTAAATGTGTATTGCAAGCTCTAGGATGACCACTAAAACAAAGTTTTTGAAAAAGTATAATTGAGTAGGCTGGGCGTGGTGGCTCACGCCTGTAATCCCAGAACTTTGGGAGGCCGAGGCAGGTGGATTGCTTGAGCTCAGGAGTTCGAGATCAGCCTGGGCAACATGGCATAACCTCATCTCTACCAAAAATACGAAAATTAGCCTGGCATGGTGGCCCACACCTGTGGTCTCTGCTACTCAGGAGGCTGAGGTAGGAGGATTGCTGGAGCCCAGGAGGTCGAGGCTGCAGTGAGCCATGATCAGGCCACTGCACACCAGCCTGGGTGACAGAGTAAGACCCTGTCAAAAAACAAACAAACAAACAAACAAAAAAGTATAATTGATACACTAAGAAAGAAGGAAAAATGGGATCATGTAAAATGCTCAGTAAAAAACACAAACGGCAGAAAAAGAGTAGAAGAAGAAAAGAGGAACAAATAACACGAGCCATTAATAGAAAACAGTAACAAATGTGGTGGATATTAATTCAATTATATAATTACTTTAAACATCAATGGTCTAACTATACCGATTAAAAGACAGAGATTGTCAGAGTGGATCAAGAAACAGACCGAACTATATGTTGTCTACAATAAATCCGATTTAAATATGTAGACACATGTAGATTAAACTTAACGAGATGGAGAAAAATATACCATGCAAACTAATCAAAAGAAAGCTAGGTGCTGTTATCAAATGCGTTCTTATCTTAGAGACTGAAAAAAGAAAGAAGATAGGAAATACTAGTAGTTGGCATGGAGTGGTGACAGTGATCATGAGTAGCGGTGTGGAGAAAAGGGAGCCCTTGTACATCGTTGATGGGAATGCAAATGAGTGTAACCATCAGAAAACAGTATGGACTTAAAAAATTTTAAATAGGGCTATTATATGACCCAGCAATCCCATTTCTAGATATATATCCAAAGTACATGATGTCAGTATCTTGAAGAGATATCTACACTGCCATGCTCATTGCAGCATTATTCGCAAAAGCCGAGATACAGAAACAATCTAAGTGCCACTAATGGATGGATGAATGTGAAATATATGAATTCTATAAAGAAAATATGGCACATACACACATATACACACATACAGTGGAATATTAATCAGCCATAAAGAGGAAAGAAATCCTGTGATTTGTAACAACATGAATGAACCTGGAGGACATTGTGCTAAGTGAAATAAGCCAGACACAGAAAGACAAATATTGCGGCCGGGCATGGTGGCTAACGCCTGTAATCCCAGCACTTTGGGAGGCCGAGGCGGGCGGATCACAAGGTCAAGAGATTGAGACCAGCCTGGCCAACATGGTGAAACCCCGTCTCTAGTAAAAATACAAAAATTAGCTGGGTGCAGTGGCATGCACCTGTAGTCTCAGCTACTTGGAAGGCTGAGGCAGGATAATGGCTTGAACCCAGGAGGCAGAGGTTGCAGTGAGCCGAGATCACGCCATTGCACTCCAGCCTGGCAACAGAGCAAGACTCCATCTCAAAAAAAAAAAAAAAAAAGAGAGAGAGAGAGAGAAAGAAAGAAAAAAAAAAAGACAAATATTGCATGATTTCACCCATATGTGGAATCTTAAAAAGTCAAACTCAGAGAAGCAGAGAGTAGAACAGTGGTTGCCAGGGGTTGGGAGCAGGGTAAGTGGGGAAAATATCAAGGGCATAAACTTCCAGTCATAAGATGAGTAAGTTCTGAGACTCTAAGGTACAACATAATAGCTATAGTTAATAATACTGTATTGTATACTTGAAATTTGCTAAAAGAGTAGGTCTTAAGTGTTCTTGACACACACACAAACACTCACAAAATAGTAACTATGTGAGGTGATAGATGTGTTAATTAACTTGATTATGGTAATCATTTTGCAATGCATACATATATCAAATCTTACACAGTATGTTTTAAGTGCATACAATCTTTATTTGTCAATTATACGTCAATAAAGCTGGGTGGAGGAGAAACGTGGAGCGGCTATACTAACTTCAGACAGAGCAAACTCCAGAGCAAAAAAAACTCTCAGGGATAAATGGGGCCATTCTATAATGGTAATGACGCCAGTTCAGAAGACACAACAACCCTTAATGTGTAACAACAATGCATACAAAAAACTACTATTGTAGCTGGAGACTTCATCACCCCTCTATCAGAAATAGATCTAGCAGGCAGAAAATGATTAAGGACATAGTTGAACTCAACAGCACCATCAAACAACTGTATATAATTAACATCTATAGACAACTTTAACCAACAATAGCAGAATATTCTTCCCAAGTTCACGTGGAACATTCATTAAATAGACTATATTTTGGGCCATAAAACATACCTTAACACACTTAAAAGAATAGAAATCATGCAATGTATGCTCCCGGACCACAGTGTAATTTTTTTTTTTTTTTTTTTTTTGAGACGGGGTCTCGCTCTGTCGCCCAGGCTGGAGTGCAGTGGTGTGATCTCGGCTCACTGCAACCTCTGCCTCCTGGGTTCAAGCCATTATCCTGCCTCAGCCTCCCGAGTAGCTGGGATTACAGGCACACACCACCACGCCTGGCTAATTTTTGTATTTTTATTAGAGACGGGGTTTCACCATGTTGGCCAGATGGTCTCCATCTCTTGACCTTGTGATTCCCCCCACCTCAACCTCCCAAAGTGCTGGGATTACAGGTGTGAGCCACCATGCCCGGCCCACGATGTAATTAAACTAGAAACCAATAACAGATAGCCAGAAAATCCCAGAATATATGGAGATTAACTCACTTCTAAATAATACATGGGTCAAAATAGGAATCTCAAGAGAAATTTAGGAATATTTTGAGCTAAATGAAACTAAAATATACAACTTAACACTTGTAGGATGCAGTGAAAGCAGTACTTAGAGGGAAATTTATGGCATTCTATGCAAATGTTAGGAAAGAAGAAAGGTATGAAATCAATAATCTAAGCTTCTACCACAGGAAAATAGAAAAAGAGGCACAAATGAAGTTCAAGGTAAACAAAAGAAAAGAAATAATAAGAATTAGAGCAGAAATCGATGAAACTGAAAACAAGAAATCTGCCAGGTATGGTGGCTCATCCCAGCACTTTGGGAGGCTAAGTCAGGAGGATGGCTTGAGCTCAGAAGTTTGAGACCAGCCTAGGAAACATGGCAAAACCTCGTCTCTACCAAAAATACAAAAATTAGCCTGTCATGTTGGTGTGTGCCTATAGTCCCAGCTGCTCAGGAAGCTGAGGTGGGAGGATGCTTTGCACCTGGGAAGCAAAGGTTGCAGTGAACCAAGATCACGCCACCGCACTCCAGCCTGCATGACAGAGCCAGGCCTCGTCTCAAAAAAAAAAAAAAAAAAAAAAAAAAAAACAAGAAAAAAGAAAACAGAAAATCAGTAGAGAAAATGAGCTGGTTCTTTGAGGAGATCAGTAAAATTTATTCGTATCTTGCCATGCTATTAAGGAAAAAAGAAAAAAGACACAAATTACTAATATTAGAAATGAAAGAGTGGCTGGGCATGCTTGCTCACACCTGTAATCCCAGCATTTTAGGAGGCCTAGGTTGGGGGTTCACCTGAGGTCAGGAGTTTGAGACTAGCCAGGCCAACATGGTGAAACCCTGTCTCTACAAAAAATACAAAAATTAGCTGCATGTGGTGGCATGCGCCTGTTAATCCCAGCTATTCGGGAGGCTGAGGCAGGAGAATGGCTTGAACCTGGGAGGCGGAAGTTGCAGCGAGCTGAGATCACACCGTTGCACTCCAGAAATGAAAGAGGGACATCACTATAGGCCCCATAGACATTAAAAGGATAATACAGGAATACTATAAACAATTCTATGCCCACAAATAACCTAGATGACATGGACCAATTCCTTGAAAGACACAATCTGCCAAAACTTACACAAGAAAAAATAGACTATCTGAATACTCCTATATCAGTTAAAGAAATTGATTCACCCTCAAACCCGGGAGGCGGAGATTGCAGTGAGCCAAGATTGCATCACTGTACTCCAGCCTGGGCGACAGAACAAGACTCTGACTCAAAAATAAAGAAAAAAATAAAAGAAAGGACTGTGCTAGATGGTGAATTCTACCAAACATTTAGAGAAGAAATTAAAATTCTCTCCAATCTCTTCCAGAAGTTAGAAGCAGAGGGAATACTTCTGAACTCACTCTGTGAGGCCAGTATTACCCTAATCCCAAAAGCAGACAAAGGCATTATAAGAAAATAAAATGGCAGACCAATATCTCTCATAAACATGTATGAAAAAATCCTCAACAAAATACTAGCAAATAGAATCCTACAATCTGTAAAAACAATTATAAACACTGACCAAGTATGTGAGACTAATTGAATATTCAAAAACCAATTAATGTAATGTAACTCATTACATCAACAGACAAAAGAAGAAAAATCATATGGTCATCTTAGTAACTGCGATAAAAAGCATCTTCCTCAACTTGATGAAGAACATCTACCAAAAACCTGCAGCTAACATCATCCTTATGGAAAGAAGCTACAAGTTTTCCCATTAAGATCAGGAACAAGGGCTGGGCACGTGGCTTATGCCTATAACCCCAATAGTTTGGGAAGCCAAGGTGGGTGGATCACCTGAAGCCAGGAGTTTGAGACCAGCCTGGCCAACATGAGGAAAACCCGTCTCTACTAAAAAAACAAAAATTAGCCAGGCGAGGTGGTGCACACCTGTAATCCCAGCTACTCAGGAGGCTGAGGCACGAGGATCATTTGAACCCAGGAGGCGGAGGTTGCAGTGAGCTGAGTTCACGCCACTGCACTGCTGCCTGGGTAACAAAGTGAGACTGTGTCTAAAAAAAAAAAAAATTGGGAACAAGGCAAAGATGTCCCCTCACCTTTTCTTTTCAATATCATACTGGAAGTTCTTGTTAATCCAATAAGACAATAATAGGAACTAAAAGGAATATGGATTGGGAAGGAAGACAAAACTGTCTTTGTTCACAGATGACATGATTTTCTATGTATAAAGTCTAAAAGAACAAACAACAAAAAAACCTCCTGGAAATTATAAGAGATTATAGCAAGGCTTCAGGATACAAGGTAAATATATAAAAGTTAATTCCTTCCTTATATATGAGCAATGAACAAGTGGAATTTGAAAGGAAAAACATACTATTTTAATTAGCACCCAAAAGAATGTAATACTTAGATATAAATCTAATAAAACATGTACAGGATCTATATGAGGAAAACTGCAAAACTCTAAGGAAAGAAATAAAAGAACTAAATAAATGGAGAGATAGTCCATGTTCATGGACAGAAAGATTCAATATTGTCAAGATGTCAGGTGTCTTAGTCTGTTCAGGCTACTATAACAAAATACCTTAAACTGGGTATTGTATAAATAGCAGAATTTATTGCTGACAGTTCTGGAGACTGGGAAATCCAAGATCAAGGCACCAGCAGATTTGGTGTTTGGTGAGGGCCTGTTCTTCACAGATGGCACCTTCTCATATACCCTCATATGGCAGAATGGGCAAACAAGCCTTATAAAAGGAGCTATAACCTCTTTTATAAGGATATTAATCCCATTCATAAGGGCAGAGCCCTTGTGACTTAATCACCTCCAAAGGCCACACATTTTAGTATGATTGCATTGAGGATTAGGTATCAATATATGAATTTTGTGGGGACACAAACATTTAAACCATAACATCAGTTCTTCTCAACTTGAGCTATAGGTTAAATGCAATCATAACGAAATTCCCAGCAGGTTATTTTGTGAATATCTATGAATTGATTCTAAAGTTTATGTAGAGAGGCAAGAAGACCCAGAGCCATCAACACAATATTGAAGGAGAAGAATAAAGTTGGGGGACTGACACTACTTGATTTCAGGATTACTTTAAAGCTACAGCCATCAAGACAGTAAGGTATTGATGACAGAACAGACAAATAGATGAATGGAAGGGAGTAGAGAGCCCAGACAGAAATAGACCCACACAAATATAGTCAACTAATATTTGACAAAGGAGCAAAGGCAATCCTATGGAGCAAAGATAGCCTTCATCAAATGGTGATGGGCATCTATGTTAGTTCGTTCTCACACTGCTGATAAAGACATACATGAGACTGGGTAATTTATAAAGGAAAGAGATTTAATTGACTCACAGTTCAGCATGGCTGGAGAGGCCTCAGGAACCTTACAATCATGGTGGAAGAGGAAGCAAACACGTCCTTCTTAACATGACGGCAGCAAGGGGAAGTGCAGAGCAAAAGGGGAAAAGGCTTCTTATAAAACCATTAGATTTTGTGAGAACTCACTCATTATCATGAGAACAGCATGAGAGTAACCACCCCTATGATTAAACTACCTCCTACCGGGTCCCTCCCATAACACGTAGGGATTATGAGAACTGCAATTCAAGATGAGATCTGGGTGGGGCCACAGCCAAACCATATCAGCATCTATGTTGCCGGCGGGGCGGGGCGGGGCGGGCGTGGGGGGTGAATAATCTGGAGACAATTCTTACATCCTTTGCATCCTTCACAGAAATTAACTCAAAATAGGTCACAGTCTTAAATAATATGCAAAACTATAAAACTCCTAGAAGATAACATAGGAAAAAACCTAGATGACTTTTCAGATGCAATACAAAAGGCATGATCTGTGAAGGAAGAAATTGGTCAGCTGGACTTCATTAAAAATAAAAACGTGGGGCCGGGCGCGGTGGCTCACGCCTGTAATCCCAGCACTTTGGGAGGCTGAGGCGGGCGGATCACGAGGTCAGGAGATCGAGACCATCCTGGCTAACACAGTGAAACCCCGTCTCTACTAAAAACACACAAAAAATTAGCCGGGCGTGGTGGCGGGGGCCTGTAGTCCCAGCTACTCGGGAGGCTGAGGCAGGAGAATGGTGTGAACCCGGGAGGTGGAGCTTGCAGTGAGCGGAGATGGCACCACTGTGCTCCAGCCTGGGCGACAGAGCGAGACTCCGTCTCAACAACAACAAAAAAAAAGAAAAAGAAAAGAAAGATGTTAATAGCAGAGGAGCTGTGCAGAGGGGTGGGTGGCAATGGTGCAGGGGATATATAGGAATTCTCTGTACTTTCTATTCAATTTTGCTGTGAGCCTAAAACTTCTCTTGAAAAATAGTCTATTTTTAGCCGGGTGCCGTGGTTCTTGCCTGTAATCCTAGCACTTTGGGAGGCCGAGGCAGGCGGGTCACCTGAGGTCAGGGAGTTCAAGATTAGCCCGGCCAACATGGTGAAACCCCATCGCTACTAAAATACAAAAATTAGCTGGGCATGATGGTGGCATGCACCTGTAATCCCAGCTACTCGGGAGGCTGAGATGGGAGAATCGCTTGAATCCCGGAGATGGAGGCTGTAGTGAGCCGAGATTGCGCCACTGTACTCCAGCCTGGGCGGCTGAGCGAGACTCCATCTCAAAAAAAAAAAAAAAAAAAAAAAAAGTTTATTTTTAAAAATAATAGGAATTGGGCAGAAAAACAGATCACTAATGCCATTGAGCCAGCCTGAGACTCCTCTCTTCTTTTGTTTCCCTTTGGTATTGCCTGGCCTAGACTCACAGGCTGCCTGAAGCCCAGAAGTAAGTGCTGGATGTGAACAGAAAGAGCTCTAAGAGAAGCCCTTGATGCAAAGAGTGGAGACGGGGGCCCCTAGGTATAACAGAGAGTCGGGGAAATCTACTTGCTTCCATCTCTTCCACCCTGCCCTCCAGGCAGTCTCACAGCGTTGCAGCAACAGTAGCCTCTGGAAGGTACCTGAAACTCTGAGGGAGGAAAACCCTTCCTAACCAGACAGCTGTGGTCCCAAGAGGATAGGGGGACTCCCCACAGCTTTTGTTTTCTGTGTTCTCACACTGCCTGGCTCCACAGGCAGACACAGTGGGAAGAAGTACATGACAGAGCTGGAAAACGAAAGTCCCAACATTCGAGTTAGAAACTCAGGAAGTTTGGGGCGGGGCACGGTGGCTCATGCCTGTAATCCCAGCACTTTGGGAGGCCGAGGCGGGTGGATTGCCTGAGGTCAAGAGTTCAAGACCAGCCATGGCCAACATGGTGAAACCCCGTCTCTACTAAAAATACAAAAAATTAGCTGAGCGTGGTGGCAGGCACCTGTAATCCCAGCTACTTGGGAGGCTGAGGCAGGAGAATCGCTTGAATCCGGGAGGCGGAGGTTGCAGTAAGGCAAGATCCTGCCATTGCACTCCAGCCTGGGTGACAGAGCAAGATTCCGTCTCAAAAAAAAAAAAAAAGAAAAGAAACTCAGGAAGTTTTGGGGTTGGTGGGGTGACTGGATGCAAAAACGTGTTGGAGAGATGACAGAGAGGAAGAAGCTTTAAAAAATCCATCTGATACATATACAATTTTGTCTGAACTCTTGCACTCACCTCTTAGCTGGCCATGTGCATGTATGCATCTGACCCTAAACGTCAGATTGATGGCTTTGAGAGCTAAGCTACAGGGGAGACCACCATTCAGGTCCCAGATTGGCCACTGGGTGCCGCACAGGCAGGACAAATATAAATACCACTGCGAAGGCTTTGAAAAGTAAACTGAGATTGGAATCACAGTACTCAGAAAGCAGGGAAGCACCTGATTGCTAAAACAAGCAAACAAATCTCAACATTCTCCATTAGAGCTAAACGAGACTTAGAGTTCCAGAATGTAATATTCAAAATGTCCAGGACACAAGAGTGCTCAATATATGAAGAACTGGGCAAATCTTGACAACTCTCAAGGGAAAAGACAGTCAACAGATGCCAACCCAGAGATGACACAGATGCTATTAGAAGAAGATTTTAAAGCAACTATCACAGTCATGTTCCAGGAAGTTAGGGCAAACAACCCTTTGAAAGGAGTGGAAAGATAGCAATTTTTAGCAGAGAAATAGAAGATATTAAAAAGAACCCAATGGGAATTTTAAAACTTAAAAAAACTATAACCAGGCCTGGTGTGGTGGCTCACACTTATAATCCCAGTGCTTTGGGAGACTGAAGCAGGAGGATCTCTTGAGGCCAGGAATTTGAGAGCAGCCTGGGCAACATAGTAAGACCTCATGTCTACAAAAAATTTAAAAATTAGCCAGATGTGATGGTGTGCACCTGTAGTCCTAGCCACTTGGGAGGCTGAGGTGGGAGGCTCACTCCAGCCCAGGAGTTCAAGGCTGCAGTGAGCTATGATTGGGCCACTGTACTCAGCCTGGGTGACAGAGGAAGACCCTGTCTGTAGTAATAATAATAGACTGGGGAAGAAAATTACTGAACTTGAAGACAGAGCAAACTAAATTACTAAAATGACTGGATGACTACAGAGAACAAAAATGTAGAAAAAAATGAACACAGCCTCAAGCCTGTGAGATATATCAAAGGGCCCAATATTCATGTCATCATAATTCCAAAAGAAAAGGTGAAATAATGAAAAGGAGTGTGAAAAAATTTTTGAAAAAGAATGACTGAAAACTCCCCAAATTTGGCAAAAAAAAAAAACACCCATAAACTTACAAATGTAAGAAGCTAAGTAAAACACAAACAGGATAAACTTAAAGAAATCCATGCCCACACATATCATGTACTGAAACTAATGATAAAGAAATATATCTTTAAAATAGAAAAAAAGGACACACTATAAATATGGAAACATCCATTCAAATAACTGCGGATTTCTGTTTTTGTTTTTGTTTTTGTTTTTGTTTGAGATGGAGTCTCACTGTTCTCGCCCGAGCCGGAATGAGATGGTGGGATCTCGGCTCACTGAAACCTCTGCCTCCTAGATTCCAGCAATTCTCCTGCCTCAGCCTCTCAAGTAGCTGAGATTATAGGTGCCCGCCACCACGCCCAGCTAATTTTTGTATTTTTAGTAGAGACGGAGTTTCACCATGTTGGCCAGGCTGGTCTCGAACTCCTGACTTTCATACACGTCCGTGTGAAGAGACCACCAAACAGGCTTTGTGTGAGCAATAAAGCTGTTTATTTCACCTGGGTGCAGGTGGGCTGAGTCCGAAAAGAGAGTCAGCGAAGGGAGATAGGGGTGGGGCCATTTTATAGGATTTGGGAAGGTAATGGAAAATTACAGTCAAAGGGGGTTGTTCTCTGGTGGGCAGGGGTGGATCTCACCAAGTACATTCTCAAGGGTGGGGAGAATTACAAAGAACCTTCTTAAGGGTGGGGGAGACTACAAAGTACCTTCTTAAGGGTGGGGGAGATTACAAAGTACATTGATCAGTTAGGGTGGGGCAGGAACAAATCACAATGGTGGAATGTCATCAGTTAAGGCTGTTTTTACTTCTTTTGTGGATCTTCAGTTACTTCAGGCCATCTGGATGTATACCTGCAAGTCACAGGGGATGCGATGGCCTGGCCTGGGCTCAGAGGCCTGACATTCCTGCCTTCTTATATTAATAAGACAAATAAAACAAAATAGTGTTGAAGTGTTGGAGCGGCGAAAATTTTTGGGGGGTGGTATGGAGAGAGAATGGGCGATGTTTCTCAGGGCTGCTTCGAGCGGGATTAGGGGCGGCGTGGGAACCTAGAGTGGGAGAGATTAAGCTGAAGGGAGGTCTTGTGGTAAGGGGTGACATTGTGGGGATGTTAGAAGAAACGTTTGTCGTATAGAATGATTGGTGATGGCCTGGATACGGTTTTGGATGAATTGAGAAGCTAAACGGAAGATACAAGGTCCAAATAAAAGGAGGAGAAAAATGGGTATTAAAGGACTAAGAATTGGGAGGACCCAGGACATCCAATTAGAGAGTGCCCAAGGGGGTTCAGCATAATTACTTGCTTGGTTGGCAAGTTTTTGGGCTCTATCCTTGAGTTTTTTTATGTTGTCATACACCAGGCCAGATTGATTTAGGTAAAAACAACACTCCTCATTTAAGAATATGCAGAGTCCTCCTTTCTCAGCAGTAAGTCAGTCAAGGCCTCGGCGGTTTTGGAGGACAACTGCAGCTAACGAGTCAACTTGGGCCTGGAGGACTGATAAAGTTTGTGATTTTGAGGGCCTCTAAAAGTATTAAAGCAGCAGCAGCCGCTGCACGCAGACATGAGGGCTAGGCTAAAACAGTAAGGTCAAGTTGTTTGGACAGAAAGGCTACAGAGTGTGGTCCTGGCTCTTGTGTAAGAATTCTGACCACGCTAACCATGCCTAGGAAGGAAAGGAGTTGTTGTTTTGTAGAAGGTGCTGGGGTTTGAGAGATCAGTCGGACACGATTGGCAGGGAAAGCACGTGTGTTTTTGTGAGAATTATGCCGAGATAAGTAACAGATGAGGAAGAAATTTGGGCTTGATTGAAGTAATGGGGGCTGTCTGTGAAGCTTTGCAGCAGTACAGCCTTGGTAATTTGCTGAGCCTAATGGGTGTCAGGGTCAGTCTAAGTGAAAGCAAAGAGAGGCTGGGACGAGGGGTGCAGGGGAATAGTGAAAAAAGCATCTTTAAGGTGGAGAACAGAATAGTGAATTGTGGAGGAACGGATTGAGGACAAAAGAGTGTACGGGTTGGGCACCACAGGGTGGATGGCAAAACAATTTGGTTGATAGGACGCAGATCCTGAACTAATCTGTAAGACTTATCCAGTTTTTGGACAGGTAAAATGGGGGAATTGTAAGGAGAGTTTATAGGTTTTAGAAGCCCATGCTGTAGCAGGCGAGTGGTAACAGGCTTTAATCCTTTTAAAGCATGCTGTGGGATGGGATATGGGCGTTGAGCGGGGTGAGGGTGATTAGGTTTTAATGGGATGGTAATGGGCATGTGATCAGTTGCCAGGGAAGGAGTAGAGATGTCCCATACTTGTGGGTTAAGGTTGGGGGATATGAGAGGAAGATGCGAAGGAGGCTTTGGGTTGGGGAGAAGGGCGGCAATGAGATGCGGCTGTAATCCAGGAATAGTCAGGGAAGCATACAATTTGGTTAAAATATCTCGGCCTGATAAGGGAACTGGGCAGGTGGGGATAACTAAAAAAGAGTGCATAAAAGAGTGTTGTCCAAGTTGGCACAAGAGTGGGGGAGTTTTCAGGGGTTTTGAAGCTTGGCCGTCAATACCCACAACAGTTATGGAGGCAGGGAAACAGGCCTTGAAAAGAAGGTAATGTGGAGTGGGTAGACTCCATATTGATTAAGAAGGGGACGGACTTACCTTCCACTGTGAGAGTTACCCAAAGCTCGGTGTCCGTGATGGTCTAGGGGGCTTCCGAGGCGATCGGGCAGTGTCAGTCTTCAGCCGCTAAGCCGAGAAGATCTGGGAAGGAGTCAGTCAGAGAGCCTTGGGCCGGAGTTCCAGGGGCTCTGGGAGTGGCTGCCAGGTGAGTTGAACAGTCCGATTTTCAGTGGGGTCCCACACAGATGGGATGCGGCTTAGGAGGAATCCCAGGCTGCGGGCATTCCTTGGCCTGGTGGTCAGATTTCTGGCACTTGTAGCAAGCTCCTGGGGGAGGAGGTTCTGGGGGAACGCCTGGCCGCTGCGGTTCAGGCGTTTGGAAGTTCTTGTGTGCTGGAGATGTGGCTGGGGTTTGTCTCACCGTGGAGGCAAGGAATTGCAACTTTTTTCTATTATGGTACACCTTGAAGGCGAGGTTAATTAAATCGTGTTGTGGGGTTTGAGGGCTGGAATTTAATTTTTGGAGTTTTATTTAATGTCGGGAACAGATTGGGTAATAAAATGTATATTGAGAATAAGACGGCCTTTTGACCTTTTAGGGTCTAGGGCTGTAAAGTGTCTCAGGGTTGCTGCCGAGCGAGCCATGAACTGGGCTGGATTTTTATATTTGATGAAAAAGAGCCTAAACGCTATCTGATTTGGGATAAAGAAAAAGGAGCATTAACCTTGACTATGCCTTTGGCTCCAGCCACCTTTTTAAGAGTAAATTGCTGGGCAGGTGGGGGAGGGCTAGTCACGGAACGAAACTGTAAGCCAGAGCAGGTGTGAGGAGGGGAGGCGATGAAAAGATTATAGGGTGCAGGAGCGGAGGCTGAGGAAGAATTGGGACCTAGCTCGGCCTGGTGAGGAGCAGCCTGGGGAGGAAGGGAGAGGTCAGATGGGTCTGTAGAAAAGGAACATTAGAAAGACTCAGCGACGCTTGGGGTTGGGACTGAGGGGACAGGCGGGAGGGAAAGAAGGAAGATTTGGGACGAGTTGCATTGGGCACAGAGACTAGGAAGGGACTGATGTGTAAAAGAATGCCTGGACGTCAGGCACCTCAGACCGTTTGCCCATTTTACGACGAGAATTATTTAGATCTTGTAGGATGGAAAAATTGAAAGTGCCGTTTTCCAGCTATTTGGAACTACTGTCGAGCTTGTATTGGAGTCAAGCGGCATTGCAGAAGAAAATAAGGCATTTAGGTTTTAGGTCAGGTGTGAGTGGAAGAGGTTTTAAGTTTTTGAGAACACAGGCTAAAGGAGAAGAAGGAGGAATGGAAGGTGGAAGCTTACCCATAGTGAAGGAGGCAAGCCCAGAGAAAAGAGTAGAGACACGGAGAAGGAGGGGGGGGGTTCTTGCCCTCCAGAAAAGCAGAGAAGGGGTTGGGGCACGGAAATAAGGGATTGGGGCACAGAGATAAGAGGTCAGGGTGCGGAAATAAGGGATTGGGGCACAGAGATAAGAGGTTGGGGTGCAGAAATAAGCGATTGGGGGTTTCTTGCCCCCTAGGAAAGCGGGACTTGCCGCTAAGGGCGAAGGAGAAGGGGTTGAGGGGTACTTGCCCCTGCCCCAGGAAAGCAGAGAAGGGGTAGAGACAAGGAGAGAAGGGGTTGGGGTACTTGCCCCTTCCCCAGAAAAGCAGAGAAGGGGTAGAGACAAGGAGAGAAGGGGTTGGGGTACTTGCCCCTTCCCCAGAAAAGCGGGACTTGCCGCTAAGGGTGAAGGACCAAGGCAGGCGTCCCTGCGTGGTCTGACACCCTTGAAACGTGAGTGTATAATCAGAGAGGTGTCCCTGCAATGATTAAACACCAAGGGAAGGCTGCCTTCCCAGTCCGTGACCGGCGCCGGAGTTTTGGGTCCACGGATAAAACGTGTCTCTTTTGTCTCTACCAGAAAATGAAAGGAATTGAAATTAAGAGAAGGGAGAGATTGAAGTGTAGCACCAAGATTGAAAGGAGAAAGAGGCTGAGGGATAGTGAGGGAGATTGGAGAAGAGAGTAAAAGGCTGCTTACCAGATTTGAAATTGGTGAGATGTTTCTTGGGCTGGTCGGTTTGAGAACCTGAGGTCATAGGTGGATCTTTCTCACGGAGCAAAGAGCAGGAGGACAGGGGATTGATCTCCCAAGGGAGGTCCCCTGATCTGAGTCACGGCACCAAATTTCATGCGCATCCGTGTGAAGAGACCACCAAACAGGCTTTGTGTGAGCAACATGGCTGTTTATTTCACCTGGGCGCAGGCGGGCTGAGTCCGAAAAGAGAGTCAGCGAAGGGAGATAGGGGTGGGGCCGTTTTATAGGATTTGGGAAGGTAATGGAAAATTACAGTCAAAGGGGGTTGTTCTCTGGTGGGCAGGGGTGGATCTCACCAAGTACATTCTCAAGGGTGGGGAGAATTACAAAGAACCTTCTTAAGGGTGGGGGAGATTACAAAGTACATTGATCAGTTAGGGTGGGGCAGGAACAAATCACAATGGTGGAATGTCATCAGTTAAGGCTGTTTTTACTTCTTTTGTGGATCTTCAGTTACTTCAGGCCATCTGGATGTATACCTGCAAGTCACAGGGGATGCGATGGCCTGGCCTGGGCTCAGAGGCCTGACACTGACCTCAGGTGATCCACCCGCCTCAGCCTCCCAAAGTGCTGGGATTACAGGAGTGAGCCACCGCACCTGGCCTATAACTGCGGATTTCACATCAGAAACCATGGCACACAGAAGAGAATGGAAGACTATTGTTAAATTGTGGGAAGGAAAGAATGGTTCAATATGGAATTTCAGATCTAGTAAAAATATTCTCCAGGAATGAGGTGAAATAAAGACATTCTCAGAGGAAGAGAAACTAAGATAATTTGTCACTGGTACCCTACCTTTCAAAGATTTTAGAGGAATTTTTTTGAGACGGAAGGGGAATTATATAAAAAGGAAACTTGAAACAGGAGGAATAAAGGAAGAAGAACATTTACCTATGTATGGGTAAATACATAGGCTATTCTTCTATTAGGTCCTTTAAAATACTTTAAAACATGTTTGATGTTAAAAATAAAAAAGTGTCCAGGCACGGTGGCTCACACCTGTAATCCCAGCACTTTGGGAGGCCGAGACAGGTGGATCACCTGAGGTCAGGAGTTCAAGACCAGCCTGGCCAACATGACGAAACCCTGTCTCTACTAAAAAATAAAAATAAATAAATAAAATTTTGCTAGGAGTGGTGGCGGGCGCCTACCACTCAGCGGGAGGCTGAGGCAGGAAAATCGCTTGAATCCAGGAGGTGGAGGTTGCAGTGAGCCAAGATCGCACCACTGCACTCCAGCCTGAGCAACAGAGAGAGACTCCGTCTCAAAAAATAAATAAAGAAATAATAAAAAACTATAAGTAGTGCTGCAGTAAACATATTGTTTCATGCGTCCGTGTGAAGAGACCACCAAACAGGCTTTGTGTCAGCAACAAGGCTGTTTATTTCACCTGGGTGCAGGCGGGCTGAGTCCGAAAAGGGTCAGCAAAGGGTGGTGGATTATCATGGTTCTTATAGGTTTTGGGATAGGCGGTGGTGTTAGGAGCAATGTTTTGCAGGCAGGGGGTGGATCTCACAAAGTACATTCTCAAGGGTGGGGAGAATTACAAAGAACCTTCTTAAGGGTGGGGGAGATTACCAAGTACATTGATCAGTTAGGTTGGGACAGAAACAAATCACAATGGTGGAATGTCATCAGTTAAGGCTATTTTCACTTCTTTTGTGGATCTTCAGTTGCTTCAGGCCATCTGGATGTATAGGTGCCGGTCACAGGGGATATGATGGCTTAGCCTGGGCTCAGAGGCCTGACACACATGTGTGCAAGTGTCTTCATAACAGAATGATTTATAATCCTTTGGGTATATACCCAGTAATGGGATCGCTGGGTCAAATGGTAATCCTGGAACTTAAAGTAAAATACCAAGTAATAAATAAATAATATATAAATAATAAAATAGAAATAATAAATAACATATAAATAATAAATAAACTATAGCATTACCTGGTGGGGCTCCTAATGCAAATAGATACAACACATAAGACAACTACGGTGTAAAAGGAGAGGGTGTGGTGAAGGTCTTTGTATTCTATTTAAAGTCAAAATGTTGATTCTGAGCAGACAGTGAAAAGTTGTATATACAAATCACAATCCCTAGTGTGATCACTAAAAAACATGCAAAGATACATATCAGAAACAGGCTGGGCGCGGTGGCTCACATCTGTAATCCCAGCACTTTGGCAGGCTGAGGCAGGCAGATCAGGAAGTCAAAAGATCGAGAGCTACTCGGGAGGCTGAGGCAGGAGAATCACTTGAACCTGGGAGGTGGAGGTTGTAGTGAGCCGAGATGGCACCACTACACTCCAGCTTGGCAACAGAGCGAGACTCTGTCTAAATAAATAAATAAATAAAATAAAAAAGATATATGTCAGAAGCATATAGATAAATTAAAATGGAGGCCAGGCGCAGTGGCTCACGCCTGTAATCCCAGCACTTTGGGAGGCCAAGGCAGGTGGATCACCTGAGGTCAGGAGTTCGAGACCAGCCTGACCAACCTGGAGAAACCCCATCTCTACTAAAAATACAAAAATTACCCAGGCGTGGTGGGCACGCCTGTACTTCCGGCTACTCGGGAGGCTGAGGCAGGAGAATTGCTTGAACCTGGGAGGCAGAGGTTGCAGTGAGCCGAGATGGTGCCATTGCACTCCAGCCTGGGTGACAAGACAGAAACTCCATCTCAAAAAAAAAAAATTAAAATGAAATATGAAAAAATTCTCAAATAACTGAAAAGATGGTATCTTCAGGCTGATAACCACACTGTCTGGATCATTGTAAGTTTAAAAGTCCTGAAATCTGGTATGGGTTAGTCCTTCATTGTTCTCAAAAGCTATCTTGGCTGTTGTAGGTCCTTCACATTTCCATAAGAATTTTAGAATCACCTAGTCAATTTTCACTAAATAGCTTCCTGGGATTATGACTGAGATGGCACTGAATCTGTAGATTAACTTTGGTAGAGCAAACATCTTAGCAATAGAGAATCTTCCAGCACATGAGTGAAGTATATCTCCCCATTTATTTAGATAGTCTTTAATTTTTCTCAGATATGGTTTGTAGTGTGAATACACAGGCCTTTCACATATTTTCTCAGATTTGTCATATTTTAATGCTATTTTAAATGATGTTTATCTTTAACTTCAATATCTCATTTTTCAATCCTGATATGTAGAAATATAATTAATTTTGTATATTTATTTCGAACTCTGCAATCTTGCTAAACCCAGTTATGAATTCTAGTAGGGTTTTTTTTTGTTTTGTTTTGTTTGTAGATTTCATCATAGTTTCTCCATAGGGGATCATGCCATCTGTGAATAAAACCATTGTTTTTTTCTTCTTTCCCAATTTGGATGACTTTTATTTCTTTTTTATGCCTGACTGCACTGGCTAGAGCCTCCAGTGCAATCCTGAGTGGAGGTGGTGAGGGTGAATATTTTTGCCACATTCCTGGTTGTAGGAAAAGGTATTTAGCCTTTCAGTATTAATATTATGTTAGCTGGAGGTTTTCCATACGCTCTTTACCAGGTTGAGGAAGCTCCCTAGTTTGCTGAAACTTGTTTTTTATCAGGAGTAGATGTTGGATTTTGTCAAATGCTTTTTCTTTAATTGATTGAGGTGATTATATGATTTTTCTTTTTTAGTTTCTTAATATGGTGTACTAGTTTCCTATGGTAACAGATTACCACAAACTTGGTGTCTTTAAAACACAAAAATTGATTCTCTCATGGTTATGGAGGCTAGAAATCTGAAATCAAGGTGCCAGCTGGGCCATGCTCACTCAAAGCTCCAGGGAAGAACCTGCCTGCTGTTTCCAGCGTCTGGTGGCCCCAGGCCTTCCCTGGGTAATGGTGGCGCAGCGCTGATCTCTGTCTGCCTTCACCTTCACACGGCCCTTCTTGTTTGCCTCTGTGGTCACTTCTCTCCTTACAAGGACACCAGTCATTGGACTTAGGGACCACCCTAAATTCCGGACAGTTTCATCTGAGATCCTTAACTAATTACATCTAAAAAGACTATTTCCAAATAAGGTCACATTCTGAGGTTCTGGGTGGAAATGACCTTTTTTTTTTTTTTTTTTTTTTTGAGACATGGCCTCGCTCTGTTGTCTAGGCTGAAGGGCAGTGGCACGATCACAGCTCACTGCAGCCTCAAAGTCCTGGACTCAGGCAATCCACCTGCCTCAGCCTCCCAGGTAGCCAAGACCACGGGTGCATACCACTACACACAGCTAATTTTTAAATTTTTTGTAGAGGCAGCATCTTACTATGTTTCCCAGGCTCATCTCAAACTCCGGGCTCAAGCGAGCCTCCCACCTCAGGCTCCCAAAGTGCTGGAATTACAGACATGAGTCACTGTGCCCGGCTGACACACAGTTGTTTTTTTTTTTTTTTTTTGAGACAGAGTCTCGTTCTTGTTGCCCAGGCTGGAGTGCAATGGCACAATCTCTGCCCACTGTAATCTGCACCTCCTGGGTTCAAGCAATTCTTCTGCCTCAGCCTCCCTCGGGAGGCTGGGATTATAGGCATGTGCCACTACACCAGCTAATTTTGTATTTTTAGTAGAGATGGGGTTTCTCCATGTTGGTCAGGCTGGTCTCGAACTCCCGACCTCGGGTGATCCACCTGCCTCAGCCTCCCAAAGTGCTGGGATTACAGGCGTGAGCCACTGCGCCCAGCCAACATACATTTTTGAGGGACACTAGTCAACCCACTAAACATGACATATTTTATTCGATTTTTGAATGAATGCTAAGCCAAACTTGCCTTCTTGAGATAAACCCCTATAGGTCATAATGTATTAATCTTTATAAGTTAATCTTTATAAACTTTTCTTTAAAAAATTCATCTATATTCATTAGAGATTTTAGTCCTTAATTTTCTTTTCTTGTAATGTCTTTGGATGATGATAATTATTATTATTTTGAGATGGAGTCTCACTCTGTCTCCCGCGCTGGAGTTCAGTCGCAGTATCTTGGCTCACTGCAAGCTCTGCCTCCTGGGTTCAAGCAATTCTCCTGTCTCGGCCTCCCAAGTAGCTGGGATTACAGGTGCCCGCCACCATGCCCAGCCTTGTCTTCGGTTTTGATATCAGCATAATAGCAGCCTCATAGAAATAGCTGGGAAATATTCTCTTCACTTCAATTTTATGGATTTGTTTGTGTAAAATC